>NT_187649.1:0-162896 GCF_000001405.40 Homo sapiens | reverse complement strand
CATTATAATAAAAACCTTTAAATGCTCTGAGTGCCCAGCGTCAGCATGGTGATAACATACATACGAGGGAATATTGTGCAGCTGCAGTTAGTTCTTATTACATTTCACAGGCATCTTAAATGCTTTGTGAACACCGGTGCATAGATTTTTTTGTTTGGTATAGATGGCAATGATTAGATGGGTGAAATAATAAAAAAAATGGACATATAATTTTAAAAATATTGAGTGACAGAAAAAAATGAAAAAATGTTAAAGAACTTTTTGGTTATGATATTATCACTAAAAGGCCGTGTCTCCTTGCTCCCTTCTTTGGGGACGGTTCTGGGCTTGCCTGGCCCGTGGGTGGGAATTGTGGTGCTCCAAGTGCCTTCAGCTGCTGCTGGGGTCCCAGGAGCCCAGCCTAGGTGTTCTTCCATCCTCACCACCCCATGGCCTCCATGGAGCCCCACGGCAGCCTCAGGAAGGAGGGCAGTATCGTCAGAACACAGTCCTCATGGACCCCCCAAGAGACCCTTGGGCAGAATGCCCCATCCCACCCAGGTCCAGCTTCACTCAGCACGTAAACAGGAACACGGCTGCAGGCAGGCTCCACGCACCCCGTCCCCAGGGAAGCCGCAGCCCTCGTCCCACGTATCCCGGGCAGGCATCTGTAACTGAGGGCTGCGTGGTCGGGTGAGCAGCGAGGCACATGCTGGCTGGGCGGGGAGGGGCGGCCCTGAGTGGTCGTCTTGCTCAGTGCTAGAGGGGCTCTGAGCCGAAGGTCTGAGGGTCCTGGAGCTGCCATGGCAGATCCCCACAGTCTCGGCAGCTCAAAACAACAGGGACTCATTCTCTCCCCGCTCAGCAGGGAGGGGTCTGAAATCGAGTCCATGGGCCGTGCTCCCTCCAGAGGCTCCAGGGGAGGACCCTGCCACCTCCACCAGCTTCTGTGGCTCCAGGCGTCCCTGGGCCGCGGCCACAATGCTGCACCTCTGCCTCGGTCTCCAGGCGACCTCCTCCTCTGTCTGCGTCTAACCTCCCTCTGCCTCTGTGTAAGGACACTTGCCGTGCATGTAGGGCCAACGAGTTAATCCAGAATGACCTCCTTATCTCAAGATCTTTAACTTAAACACAGCCACAAAGACCTGCCTCCTATTTGAAGAGAGGTTCTCTGCACAGTTCCAGGGTCAGGAGGTGAACACCAGGTGGCCCAGCCTCAGCCACCCCAGTGATGATGTGTGAGGTTTCAGAACAGCTGTGCTGCCCTGTTAGGAGCTATACACGCAGAAAGGCAACTCCGCCAGCGTCAGGGGTGCCGGATGCATGCAGGATCAGAAGGCGTCGGATTTCCCAGGGAAGCTGGGGAGCAAGGATCCTGCACCAAGGGAGGCAGGAGGCCGGAGACCAGCCCAGGCCCAGTCCAGGAGGAGCCTGGCCAGGAGTCCCACCAAAGCCACTGGAGCCTCCGTGACCCAGCCCTGGAGGGTCAGCACTGTCCCTCAAACGGATTCTTCACACACAGGTCTCTCTGTCTGTGGGGGCTGCAGGGCCAGTGCCTGAGGAGCCCGGACTTCACACAGGGGTCTCTCTGTCTGTGGGGGCTGCAGAGCCGGTGCCTGGGGAGCCCGGACTGCCGGAAACCTTTGCGGTGGGAGGCTGCAGATGGGACTTCTTGGCCTGTGTTTATGTGGAGCCCAGGCTGCGGGCACCACAGCCAGGCACAGGTCAGGGGTAAGTTGTGGGTGATGTAAGGACTAGAAGCGTAAGTAATGGCCTGACCCCCATGTCCTGGCTGTGCTGTGCGGTGGGAAAGACATGGGCTCCGGCGGCTGCTGGGGATGGCCTGGCTTGCACCTGCTGGGTCCCCCCCTGGCCACCAGCCTCACCCAAGGGCAGTTGGTGACTGCCTGCCTCACTCCTGCCAACCCTCAGGGGCCTAGGAGTCCTGCGTGGTGGGTCTAGGAACCATGCTGGAGGACAGGCCTGTGCCAGGGCCACCAGGATGTCTATGGCAGGAGCCGGTGCTGGCGAACCCCACACCTTGAGCCCCAGAGCCAGGATCCTCAGCCCAGGAAAGGGACCAGAGGCGGGAAAACCACACGGCAAAGGCTGTCCCGTGAGGTCACGGCTCCGTCACCGCTGCCCACACACGGAAGGCAGCCGCGGCTGGGTGAAGCCATCTTCACAGACATGCCGTCCTTGAGGCTCTCACACATGCACACAGACGCTCCGTCCTCTCCCACCCGCCCCCCCGCCACCCCGGGCAGGCCAGGAAGTCCCATCTGGGGCCTCCCACCCCGAGGGTTGCCGTCAGTCCGTGTGCCCAGGCATCGGGGCCTGAAGCCTCCACAGACAGCGAGACCTGTGTACGAAGCAGACTCTGTCCTAGGGACAGTGCTGACCCTACAAGGCTGGGTCACTGGAGGCTCCCCGGGTCCAGTGGCTTTGGTGGGACTCCTGGCCAGGCTCCTCCTGGGCCGGGCTGGTCTCCGGCCTCCTGCCTCCCTTGGTGGAGCACCCTTGCTCCCCAGCACCTCCCAGGTTCACACAGCTCCTCCCTGGGGCTGCGCACTGACCCAGGGGCAGGAGGTGGGCCATCCTCTCGGTGGACTGAAGACCTTGTCCGAAGGGAAAGCAGGGCCGGCCCAAGGCCTGGCTGGAAGAGTGGGTCTTGGTGGCAAAGGCGGCCCGTGGGGGCAGCCCACGCGAATGCTTCCCCGGCGCCCTGAGCCCCTGACCGCGGCTGAGCCTGCGGTACTCTGGCCCCTCTCGTGGAAAGATGACCTGGGTCTACCATGCTCAGTATCACCCAAAAATTCCTACAGAAGTCTCTCGGGACAAGAAAAGGCCTTCTTCCCTCCCTCCTCCTTTCCTCTTCCTTTCTTTCATCAGGGAACAGCTTCCGGCTGCCTGCACTGTTTGGGCGCCGTCATAAGGAGCCGTGACGGCCTTCACAGAGCTCCGGGGCTCACGGGTGTGGCTGACCTGCCACAAATGGGGCGACAGAGGAGAGGGAGGGTCGGGCACCGATGGCTCAGGAGGGAAGAGATCCCTTCTGTATGGGGAGACGGGGGCTTCCTGGAGGGCACTGGAGCGAGGGGCTCACCAGAGTGAGACATCCAAGGGATCTGGGGGACCGGCCATGGGACACTGCGGTCCCACGTGGCTCCTGGATGTGCTGTGTGTTTGCTGAGCTGGAGGGGACGGGGAGCCCATGTGTGGGAGAGGGAGAGGCCATGCACGCCCTGAGTCGGGCTTTACAAAAACCTTCTGGGGGCAGCAGGAGAGGAGCCACGCAGAGGCAGAGCCAGGGAGAGGCGGTGGGGTAGTGAGGGGGATGTCGGGGTGCACGGGTTAGGAGACCCCCGAGTCCTGGGACCTGCATGCTGATAGTCAAGGTTGCAGAGGCGGCTGCTGTGGTGACCACAGGGCAGGGAGAGGCAGTGGGGTAGTGAGGGAATGTCGGGGTGCACAGCACCAGACCCTCCCAGATCTTCTGATTCAGTCCTGGGGGGACCCTACCCCAGATCTTCCAATTCAGTCCTGGTTCGGCCTGAGAATTTGCATTTTTAACATGTCCAGGGACCACAGTTTGAAAACCTCCACGGCTGACATGTAATGGGATGACATGGTCCAATAAATGAAGGAAAAATAACAGGTGGCAACCTCAGGCAGCTTCATCCCAACCAGTAAGAAAGTAAATCCTTTTGTAAACTAAGAGGAAGTATTAATATGGGCGTTTGAGCAAACATTTAAGTGTTAGAACAAAGAATTAAAAACTAGCACAGGCACCCCTGAAGCATGATAGGATGGCAACAGAAGGGCTGATTTAGTTTCCAAGAAATAACTGACAGGCAGTGTTGTGCGTGTGTCTACTACTTAGGAACCCAAAACAAACCTTCAGACCGTTTTCATGAGTACTGAGACCAAGAAAACCACTGGGCAGTGGGTGGTCTGGAAATGTAAATGTTGATGGTACTCCAGTAATGAGTCATGGAACAATGTTTCATATTGAAAATGTTTTTGTAAATGTGGGTTTCAAGGTTTCAAAGTGAACCCGTATGTGTTAGGAGAAAGGACACACCAAAGAAGTAAAATAATTGGGTCAATATAAAAAGAAAGTAGAATACTGCCCAGAGAGAAGATGTGGATAATTCCTAACACGGATCAAAGGCACCAAAAAGGTGAGCTGTGAGTAAGATATTCAGACCTGCACCATCCCCTGCATTAGACACAGACAACATCTTGGTAGGCAACTGGGTGAAAATTCAGAGACAACCCTAGGAACTATGAGGATGAAAAAAGTTAGCATTCATGGAATGAGGCACTGACGAAACTGAAAAGCTGGAATAACCCCATGAAATAACGAGAATAATTGTAGTATTCTGAACCGGGGCACAGGACACAGGACTGGAGTGGAAGGCCGCATGAGACCACCCCGGGAAAGACCCAGGGATCACACTGGCCCAAAGGTGGGCACTTCCCAACTCCGGGATTTGTGATACAGGCACTCCAGGCTCCACCATAGAACTGTGTCCAGCACGAAGGCAGTGCTGTCTTGCGGGAGGCAGGGCTGCACCACCACAGGGGCGGGAAGGGGCCCGGCAGGGAGGCGCCCAGTGTTTCCAGCTGCACCGGTCGGGGACCGCGCTGATGCAGAGCGCGGGGGCGCAGGTTAAACCTAAAGGAGGGAAGCTTTTGGGGGCGGAACAGACAACGGAGAACGCTGCACACTGCCCTTCCCACGCGAATTGTGCTTTGCCTTTTTTTTTTTTTTTTTTTTTTTTGAGACGGAGTTTTGCTCTTGTTGCCCAGGCCTGGAGTGCAATGGCCTGATCTCGGCTCACTGCAACCTCCGCCTCCCGGGTTCAAGCAATTCTCCTGCCTCAGCGTCCCGAGTAGCTGGGATTACAGGCGTGCGCCACCACGCCCGGCTAATTTTGTATTTTTAGTAGATACTGGGTTTCTCCATATTGGCCAGGTTGGTCTCGAACTCCTGACTTCAGGTGATCCACCGGCCTCGGCCTCCCAAAGTGCTGGGATTACACGCGTCAGCCACCGCACCCGGCCTGCTTGCTTTTTTTTTTTTTTTTTTTGCAGAGTCTCGCTGTCCACCGGGCTGGAGCTGCAGTGATCTCGGCTCCCTGCGGCCTCGACCTCCCGGGCTCAGGCGATCCTCCCGCCTCAGCCCACGGAGTACATGGGACCACAGGAGCCCACCACGCCCGACTACTTGCTGTAATTTTTGTAGGGATGGGGTCTAGCCCCGCTGCCCAGGCTGGTCCGCACTGCTGGGCTCAAGAGCTCCGCCCGCCTCCGCCTCACAAAGCGCAGGGATCCCAGGTGTGAGCTACCGCGCCCCGCCCAGAGTTTCCGACTGTTAGCGTGAATCATATTCACGTCAAAACTTCTTTTTATACAAGAACTAAAAGGCAAACGAAATCCCTGCTCCATCACTGCCTGTCCCGGGTCGCGGCGCGGGACATTTCCTCCAAGCGCCTTCCCGGCCCCGCGCGCAGGTGGCCTGCGCCGGAGGATCCCGGACAACGCGCATTTCCTGCGCCCCCGGAAGCGGCGGTAACGCCTGGCCCTGCCCCCGGCAGAGGCGGAAGCACAGTCGCTCTGAGGTCGCCCGTGGCCGCAGGTGCCTCAGCCCAGCCGCGCGCCTTGGCCCTTGGCCGCCTACTCCTACCGCCCCGGCCTTGGGCGGCCCTGGGCCTGCTGCGGGCGCGGCGCTGCCCGACCAGAGCTTCCTGTGGAACGTCTTCCAGAGCTGCCACCTGGCACCGCCCCGGCACCTCCCGCCTCCCCCGCAGCTGCCCCGGACCCGTGTCCCGACCCCCGCGGCCAACCCCGTTCCCTGCCGGTTGCCCCGCGGCCTCCCCCGTCACCTGCCGGGTCCCCAGCGGCCTCCCCCGTCCCCTGCCCCGACCTCCGCCGTCTCCCCCGCCCCTGCCCGGACCCCCGCGGGCGCCCCCGAACCCTACCCCGACCGACGCGGCCGCCCCCATCCCCTGCCCCGACCCCCGCGGCCGCCCCCATCCCCTTCCGGGTCCCCCGCGGTCTCCCCCGTCCGCTGCCCGGTCTCCTGGGGCCGCCCCTGCCTCCTGCCCGGTCCCTGTCCTGTGCGTCGGGCGCTTCCCAAGGTGCAGAGGGCGCCACTGCAGACCCGAGGTCGCGGCCACCGGCTCCTGGGCCAGGCCCCGTTTCTCGCCTCGAGCCGTCGGGGGAGGGTCTCCAGGGTGCTTGTTTGGGGAAAGCGGAAACAGACTGTCTGGGCCGCTGTTAAAATGTCAGCAGCCAAGGAAGAAGCAGCGACCTGGCGTCTGCTCGGGCCAGGTGACCTTTATGGCGGCGCCTTCTGTCCCTGGTCGCTTTTCCACTGAATGAATGACCGAAACTGTAGTAACTCATGGCCAGGGAATGGCTTAGTTATCTGAGGGAATCTTGTCTTGTCTGTGAAAAAGGGAAACTGGTGCAAATGGGAATTCAGACAGGTCAGGAGGGGAAGGAAGGGAAGGATTGAGGTGGGAAAAGAGAGAGAAAGATGATTGTCCTCTTAGGGGAAGAACACACTTGGACGTGGCTCCTGGGGCACTTCCTTGATTCCGCTGTACTCCTCAGCGGGACCGGAGAGGCGGAGGTTCCAGGAGGGAGCCTTCCAGAGTCGGTGCAGGGTTGACAGGAGACGTTTGTTTTGCTTTTCCTGAACTTTCGATCGCCAGCTTGTTTGGTCTTCTTGATGTTATAGGGTTGATAGAGAGGAGTGGAGTGATATCGGACACCCAGCTTCAGCAAGCTCTCTCCAAGGGTGAGTGGGCCAGTGGGACCTGGGTCTCCGGACCAAGAAGCCGCGAGCCTGCCCTGCTCACAGTGGATAACTTTCTTTCTGAAGTTGATTTTCCAAGGACAAAGGAATCATTAGGACAAATTATTACTGCTTCATGGTGGAGATGCTTCTGGTTTATTTTGTGGCTACCGCTGTTACTGCTTGGAGTGCCTCACCGAGCCAGCTAACAACGGCGTGCGTGAGCGCAGGGAAAGGCTTCTTGAGAAATGAAAACTAGGTTGTAGGTTTAGGAGGGGAATAGGAAGGTTAGCTCTGTCCAGCCGAAAGCCTTTTGGTAAGTTGGGGGTCCTTGAATTTCCTGGGTGACTGCATCTTGGTGACTTCTCTGAATAGACCTTCGAGGGCACTGGGGGGTGATTGTTGGAGGGCTTGGGGAGCTCAGGCAGCACTTGTGTGGGAACGTGGCTGTTACAGGAACTGCAGAAACTGGGACTGGGTTCCTGGGGAAAGGATTGGGGGTGTTGGAGGCGCTGGCAGGGGAGTTATGGGGAGGCGTTCTTATCAGTGTGCGAATATTGGGCGTTCAGGCAGCGGGAAATCTGGGTCCTTGGCGTGTTGTGAGCTCCCTGGAGTTACGTTCTTGCCAGTTTCAGCTCAATTGATCCCCCTCCCCTGAGCTATCATTGGATACATTTTACTTCATTGAACACCTGACTGCTGCTTTTTCTGTAATCCCTCAGGGGCAGTCATCTTTTCTGATTCTGTGTATAGTTTGCCTTTCCAGATCCGTGCCATTTAAGCTAGAAAAGGGGTCAGTTTTGAGATGTTGTGAAAATGTTGAAAGGCTCCTCGTTATTAGTGGGAAGTATCTGATGTTGCCAGAGACTGAACTGGGGCGCGGGGAGCACTACGGCTGCTAGACACTGCCTCACTGCGCTGTGGGTGGTGGGGGGGGAGGTGCTGGATTCAGTCTTACTGCCTAATGATTTGTGAGGATTTGTGTTTTCAGAGTAACATGTTTACCTTATGTTATCAGTTCCTAATATGTGACGTATGGGCCACAGATGCTGGTGTATTATTTCACATGCATTTATATAGATTGTTTTCAGGGAATTCAGAAATTCTGTTATCTCTACACTAGTGATTGTGCTTTCTTGATTTTTCTCTTTTCATTATTCTTAAATCCTCCTTTTTTTATTTGCATCTCAGTTTATTTATACTCGGGAAGTGCAAGACATGGCGACTAGAAAGAGATGTCAAGAGAACCCGGAATCCAGTAGGCTACAATTTGGCAAATCTTAGCTTAAAACTTCCTAAATGTTGACCACAGTGGATGCAAATGGCTCTGTGCATCGTCTGTTCAATATGGTCAGGTGACCACCCAGGTTCACGTGGTTTGTCACCAGGGTGATACGAGCCACACGGAGTGCCCTCCTCAGAGGCCATGTCTCAGAGACGTTTATTTTGAGTGGTTTTCCAGCGAGTGATGCAAGATTTATGATCCATTTTAACAGCTGCTTTTTATGCATTTGCTCAAATTTTTAGATTTTAAGTTTAGTTTTAGGTTTTCTGTTAATTTGCTCAACTAGGAGTGGTGGTCAAATACTGGACCTCATTAGCATGGTAGCCTGCCCTCCTTGGCAGGCTCCACTGGAGTGCCTTGGGGCCTGCCTGGATTCCAGTCCTGGCTCTACCAGTTTTGTGTCCTCGCCGTTACTGGGAGGGAGTATTGAGGAAATGCATGCGAGGTGCCTCCGTGATTCCTGGCACGGAGCAAGTGCTCAGTAATTGTCAGCTGTGAGTATTAGTAGTAGCTAATACACTACTACTATTCTTGGCTAACAAGCCAGCTCAAAGCTTTGATGGTTTTCCATTACCTGATGATGGTGATGATGGTTTCCACTTCCTGAACACTCACACCCCTGGGCTAGGCACTTAACCCAAATCCAAGGTCAGCGTTATTGTTTGGAGGTGGGGGAGACACCTCCTGCTCTGACTCGTGTGTTTGGGTTCCCGTATTTTCACCAGAGGGTGTTAGTCCTGCCCCAGTTCAGCTGGTCCTCAAAGCGTATATAGCTCTTTAACCCTCAGCAAGTGTCAGTCAGAACATAATCTTGATTTCAGCTGCTACTAAATATCTACCAGGAGCCTGCTTGAGAGAGAGAATTGCCTGACAGGTGCTGAGTCCACCATTCCTGAGATACTTTGAAATCAGTGTCTGGCTTAACCCAAGCTGTGTATGGGGACCCTCTCACCGTGGTCCCAATGGAGTCGCTTTTGTTAGGCGCCCCCCTTTACCTTGGGCTCTGAGCTTCCTCTGCCTTTCATCTCTGCAGGATGAAGCCCCACTCGCCCTTCAGGATGCAAAGCCCTCCTCTATAAAGTGCATGCGGGGCCAGATGCAGTGGCTCACGTCTGACCTCCCAACACTTTGGGAGGCCGAGGCAGGGGGATCGTTTGAGACCAGCCTGGACAACATTGTGAGACCCTGTTCCTTGAATTGCCCTGGGAGATTTCCTCAGCTTGTACTGGAGGTGTGTGGCCCCATGAAGCCCATAGTCACCGTTCACCCTGAGAGACGCTGGCTTTGGGGCTGACACACCTGCTGCGGGGCAGCCCCAGGAGATGGCCACCCTGTTTCTCCTGGAGCTGGAGCTGCGCGTCTTCTCAGAAACTGTGGTGGCTGTCCTGTTTTGTTTGCATCTTATAAACCTTTACCTGATTACATTTTCCTCTTCAATTTAGCTGCTAGAAAACTTAAAGTCAGATTGGTGGCTCACCAGTAATGAGAGTTTAGAGTAGAGGTAAACTTTATGACATAGTCTTAGACTCTTCACTTTCTCCTCAGCCAACATGATTCACATTTACTTTATTTTGCTGTACTGTGAGTGTCTTTGTGTTTCCTGAATTCCTTCTGGAATAAGGCAGGTTGTTAGTAAGCACAGGTTTCTGGTCCATCTCATAGCCTCAGGCAGTGGGCGGTGCTGTCCGTGCTCCCTTTCTGGGTTACCTGTGGTAGCTCTGAAGTTGCAGGGCTGCGATTTGAAGCCTGATTTAGTACACCGTGTTTCTGTTGTGTTCTGTGGTGGTTTGCTCCTCACATGTGAGCATTCACCCTGTGGCCCTGTGTTTTTCCACCACACCTCTGCCTGGTGGCATCCTACTGGATGTCTCAGCTGAGCCACTCTGTTCTGAAGATGCCCTTGTCCTCCACCCCTTTGCTTTGGGCTCTGAGCTTCTTCTGCCTTTCATCTCTGTAGGATGAAGCCCCACCCGCCCTTCAGGATGCCAGCCTTGGCAACATTGTGAGACCCTGTTTCTACAAAAAGTAAACGTGTAGTGGTGCACGCCTGTAGTTCCAGCTACTTGGGAGGCTGAGATGGGAAGATCACTTGAGCCTGGGAGGTTGAGGCTGCATTGAGCTGAGATCAAGCCACGGCACTCCAGCCTGGGAGACAGAGCGAAACCCCATCTCAAAAAAACAAAGAAAGTGGATGCGCGCTGCTCCTGCCATTGGATCATCGCAGCATTTTTCTTTTCTCTGATATGCGCCTTTTTCCTCATCGTGGGGGCTCATGTTTTCGTACTTTTCTCTCGCTACTAGATTGTGAGCTGCGTGAAGGAAGGTTCATAGTCGTGTTGTATGTACAGGCACACAAAATTTGTGCTTGGATAGACACATATCAATCCGCTTCCTTCTCCTCTCTGAGTTTCTTTATTTAAAAAAAAAATTAGAGATGGAGTCTCACTGTCTTGCCCAGGCTGGTCTCAAACTCCTAGGCTCAAGCGATCCTCCCGCCTCTACTAATATGAATTATTAGCCTATACTAATATGAATTCCTATACTAATATGATTGAAATTAGTTTGACTTGTATAATAATTGTTCTCCCAGATTGGGCTTCTGTTTTGATAGTAGAACTAAATTATTAGGCTATTTCAAGAAATTAATATATTACTGGTAGAAAAACTGAAGCTACAAAATGGCCTGGTTTCTCACTTCAGTTAAATTTGTGCTTCTGAGTGCTTGTATTGTAGGTGAAACCGCACTGAGAAGGTATTTGTGGCCCGTATGCTGATTGATTGATGAGACTTCTTTGCACAGGAGAGCTGCTAAAAATTATTACGGTGAACAGGTATGAAGAAGACTGTTCTCTGCCCTTCTTTTTGCAATAAAATGTTACAAACTATCTTGAGATTGATCCCTTTTCGGGTGTTTGGGTTTTTTTTAACATTCACATATTTCTTGGAATTATAAGAAATTAACTTTGTGCTTCTGAAGTGGGTTTCCCTTAATATAACACTGATGTATTTGTAAGGGGCATTTTTAAAGTTGTACTTTAAAAAATAATAATTCTTACATTCGTTTGAAGGTTTTTTGTTTGTTTGTTTGTTTGTTTTTGAGATGAAGGCTTGCCCTGTCACCCAGGCTGGAGTGCAGTGGCATTGATCTTGGCTCACTGCAACCTCTGCATCTGGAGTTCAAGCAATTCTCCTGCCTCAGCCTCCTGAGTAGCTGGGACTACAGGCACCTGCCACCACGCCCAGCTAATTTTTTGTATTTTTAATAGAGATGGGGTTTCACCGTGTTAGCCAGGATGGTCTCAATCTCCTGACCTCATGATCCACCCACCTCGGCCTCCCAAAGTGCTGGGATTACAGGCGTGAGCCGGGGGCCAACATGGTGAAACTCTATCTCTACTAAAAATACAAAATTAGCCGGGAATGGTGGTGTGCGCCTGTAATCCCAGCTACTCGGGAGGCTGAGGCATGAGAATCACTTGAACCTGGGAGGCAGAGGTTGCAGTGAGCTGAGATAGCGCCACTACAGTCCAGCCTGGGGGACAGTGAGACTCCATCTCAAAAAAAAAAAACAAAAAAAGAATAGAATAACTCTTGTTTAGGTGTTACAAAATCCAGGCCAGACCAATCTAAACTTTAATCTCATACCCAGTTCCTAGATGAGTCCCTTCTCCAGCTCAGGTTCGGCCTAAGCCTCAGGGTTCCTTGCTTGGTGGGCACCACCTGCTCCCTTCCCCGCCTTTGTTCCTCTTTTTCCTCTGCTGGCTCCTCCGGGGTTGGGTGTGTTCAGAGGCAGAGACAGGCTAAAGGTCTTTGGCTTTTAGGTTCTGTTGATGGGTGAGTTCCAGATATAGCTTTCTCTTGTAGGATATTTCATTTATTTATCTATTAAAAATATTTATTTAGAACACACCATTCATGTGCCAGACCCTGTTCCAGGAACTGGGGAGAGGGTGATAAATGAGATCAACAAAAATACCTGCCCACATTAAGCTCCTGTTCTAGGGAAGACAAAAAAGAAAGAAAATACACGTGTCCTTAGTACATTAGAAGGTTCCAAGTACTGTAGAGAAAAATAAAGTAGGTTGGACTCGGTGGCTCATGCCTGTAATCCCAGCACTTTGCGAGGCTGAGGTGGGAGGATTACTTGAGCTCAGGAATTTGAGACCAGCCTGGGCAACATGGCAAATCCTGTCTCTACCAAAATAAAAAAAAAAAAATTAGCTGGATATGGTGGCGTGCACCTGTAGTCCCAGCCACTGGGGAGGCTGAGGAGGGAGAATTGCTTCAGCCCAGGAGGTGAAGGTTGCAGTAAGCTGAGATCGTGCCATTGCACTCCAGCCTGAGTGACAGAGCCAAACCCTGTCTCAAAAACAAGGAAAGAAAGAAAATGAAAAAAAGAAAGCAGAGATGGGGCAAGCAGGGGAGAGGGCTGGTGCTGGGGTCACAGCGGAGGGGCTGGGGATGCACGGGAGGGGCTGGGGATGTGAGCTTTCCTGAGTTCCCACAGTTCTCTGCCCCTCTCCTGTCTCATGGCACAAGGGCCTCCTGGGGCTTGCGGTGGTTTTGCGCCAAGCTAATATCTTGTTCTTCCCAACAGACGGAGGCCCATTGAGGCTTCTGTGTCCTCCACGGGGACCAGCATTGGGCTAAACCTGCAGACACCATTGCAAAGGGAATTCAGGCAAACCCGCTGGTGAAAAATGATTCCAGCGTGGGGACAGAGGCTGACATTTCTCGCGTGGGTGATTTAATGTTGGGCCTCAATTTTTCACTCCCCCCGTAAGAGTATGACATAGCCACAACCTTGCCAGGGCCCGAGGGAGGGTGGATGGACTTATCCGTCCCATAGGTGTTGCTCGTGGCTGGGTGACTTGCTTCTGCCAACGAGATTTTCACAGACACGGCACAAGCAGAAGCCTGGAATGTGTGGGCACTGCCAGGCCTGCCGTCTAAGGCTCTTGATTTTCCCCATGAGATGCACGTGCCCCAGGGAACGGCGGCTCTGGCTGTGGGATGAGAGGCGTGTGGAGCAGTCATGGTTCCCATCCTTAGCCTGGAGTCAAGGCCAGACTAGATCAGCCTAAGCCCAGCCACGCCACGGGTGCAGGAGTGAAGAGCAAATGCTAACTGTCCATGGAATTGACTTTCAAAGGGGCGTGTCATGTGCCTCATCCCAGCAACAGGGAAGGCATTTCTCTATCAGTCAGTTGGTAAATGATTATTGACAAACAATGTGCTGGGAAGGTGGAGTGATTTGAGTAGATTTGGCCTCTATTCTCATGGAGCTTCCTTTCTAGAGGGGAAGGCAGATGATGGATGGATAAATATAAATGATTCTAATAGGTTGGTGCAGCAGTCATTAAAAGTAATGGCGAAAAAAAAAACAAAAGAAACGGGGAGGAGCCGTTGCTGCCGTTCATTAATAGTAATGGCAAAACCCGCGATGACTTGTGCGCCAACCTAACCCAGTAACCACGGGTGTGCAAATGTGGCAATGGGCAAGTTCCGAGTGCTAGGAGAGCATCTAGCTTCCCGGAGTCAGGAGACGGGGGTTGGCAACCTAACCAAGGTTAAGTCCAAGTGAGGGGGGTGGGCAGGGAGCGATATTTCAGTGGAGACTCCAAGGATGAATGGTATTTAGAGAGTAAACCCCGATAGGGTGTTTGTCTGGCACAGAGAAGAGCCTGTGCAAAAGCTGGTGGGGTGAGAGGACACCGTGTATTCATCCACCTGAGGGGCGACCAGCAGGCTGGAGCTCAGTGGGTTGAGAGGAGGATGCAGAGCCCGGGAAAGGCACCCTAGGCAGAGGGCACAGAAGCGCAAAGGCCTGGAGTGAGGCCTGAGCCTGTGTGGTTTGAGGAACGGACAGAGGCCTGTCCGTCAGGAAGGGAACGGCACCGGGGAGAGACCTTAGGCCACAGCAGAGGGCAGGGCAGAGGGCAGGGCCGTGCTGGGCACTGTGGGCTGTGGATGGTGCTGGCATTTAAGAGGGGAGACCATAGACCAGGGCAGAGGGCAGGGCCGTGCTGGGCACTTCGGGCTGTGGATGGGAGCTGGCATTTATGCTCAGGTGATGGGAATGTGTTAAAAGATTTTAAGGAGGGGAGTAACAGTTGGGATTAATGTGTATTCTGGGAATCTCAACAAAGTAAATTCATAGTTTGAATTTTCATAAGACTTCTGCACAGGCAGAGAGAAATAAGATCATGTCTACAGCTGTGTGATGATTTTATTGAAAAACATTACTAAGTTTTTAAACGTGATTTCAAATGGTGTGTTTCTGTTTCACCTTGGACATAAGTAGATTGCAAGGCTAATGGAAAGTAGAAAAGTTAATTCATGAACATAAAAGAGATATCAATTTGAAAACAAAACGTTTATTCATTTACTTCCGCTGCAGATTTCTTGACTGCTGAATTTCATGAGAAGGGATTGTTCAGGGAGGGACATGGGGCTGAAGACCTGGAGAGGAGGTGGTGCTACCGCTGTTCAAATCTGAGGGTGGTGGAGATGGAGCCTTGGGGAGGAGCAGGTGCTGCCTTTTAAGTCTATGAGAGTCGTTGAGCTGGAGGTCCAGGGAGGAGCCAGTGCTCCCACTGATGTCTTAGGTTGTGGAGCTGAAGACAATGAAGGAGCCAGTGTGGCTGTTCTGTGAGACTCGTGGAGCTGGAGATCCAGGTGGGAGAGGTGTTTTAGCTCGGGGAAGAGCTGATGTTCTACCTTGAGGGTCGTGCAGCTGCAGACCCGGGGAGGAGCTGATGTTCTAGATTGAGGGTCGTGCAGCTGCAGACCCGGGGAGGAGCTGATGTTCTAGATTGAGGGTCGTGCAGCTGCAGACCCGGGGAGGAGCTGATGTTCTAGATTGAGGGTCGTGCAGCTGCAGACCCGGGGAGGAGCTGATGTTCTAGATTGAGGGTCGTGCAGCTGCAGACCCGGGGAGGAGCTGATGTTCTAGATTGAGGGTCGTGCAGCTGCAGACCCGGGGAGGAGCTGATGTTCTAGATTGAGGGTCGTGCAGCTGCAGACCCGGGGAGGAGCTGATGTTCTAGATTGAGGGTCGTGCAGCTGCAGACCCGGGGAGGAGCTGATGTTCTAGATTGAGGGTCGTGCAGCTGCAGACCCGGGGAGGAGCTGATGTTCTAGATTGAGGGTCGTGCAGCTGCAGACCCGGGGAGGAGCTGATGTTCTAGATAGAGGGTCATGCAGCTGAAGACTCGGGGAGGAGCTGATGTTGTAGTTTGAGGGTCATGCAGTTGAGGACTTTGGGAGGAGCTGATGTTGTTCGTGTTGAGGGTCTTTCAGCTGGGGACTCAGGGAGGAGCTGATAATCTTGATTAAGGGTCATGGAGCTGGAGACCCAGACAGGAGCTGATGTTCTAGTTAGTGGATCTTCCAGCTACAGAGTCAGAGAGGAGCTGATGTTCTAGATTGAGGGTCATGCAGCTGAATACTCGGGGAGGAGCTGATGTTGTAGTTTGAGGGTCATGCAGTTGAGGACTTCGGGAGGAGCTGATGTTGTTCACGTTGAGGGTCTTTCAGCTGGGGACTCAGAGAGGAGCTGATAATCTTGATTGAGGGTCATGGAGCTGGAAACCTAGACAGGAGTTGATGTTCTAGTTAGTGGATCTTCCAGCTGCAGACCCAGGGAGGAGCTGATGTTCTAGTTTGAGGGTCGTGCAGCTGAAGACCCGGGGAGGAGCTGATGTTCTAGATTGAGGGTCGTGGAGCTGCAGACGCGGAGAGGAGCTGATGTTCTAGTTTGAGGGTCGTGCAGCTGGAGACCTGGAGAGGAGCTGATGTTCTAGTTTGAGGTTCTTGCAGCTGCAGACCTGGAGAGGAGCTGATGTTCTAGATTGAGGGTCGTGCAGCTGCACACTTGGAGAGGAGCTGATGTTCTAGATTGAGGGTCTTGCAGCTGCAGACCTGGAGAGGAGCTGATGTTCTAGTTTGAGGATCTTGCAGCTGCAGACCCGGAGAGGAGCTGATGTTCTACTTTGAGGGTCGTGCAGCTGGAGACCTGGAGAGGAGCTGATGTTCTAGTTTGAGGGTCATGCAGGTGAAGACTCGGGGAGGAGCTGATGTTCTAGTTTGAAGGTCTTGCAGCTGCAGACCTGGAGAGGAGCTGATGTTCTAGTTTGAAGGTCTTGCAGCTGCAGACCTGGAGAGGAGCTGATGTTCTAGATTGAGGGTCGTGCAGCTGAAGACTCGGGGAGGAGCTGATGTTCTAGATTAAGGGTCATGCAGCTGAAGACTCAGGGAGGAGCTGAGGTTCTAGTTTGAGGGTCGTGCAGCTGAAGACTTGGGAGGAGCTGAGATTCTAGTTTGAGGGTCGTGCAGCAGAAGACTCAGGGAGGAGCTGATGTTCTAGATTGAGGGCCCTACAGCTGCAGACCTGAAGAGGTGCTGATGTTCGAGATTGAGGGTCGTGCAGCTGAATACTCGGAGAGGAGCTGATGTTATAGTTTGAGGGCCCTACAGCTGAAGACCCGGAGAGTATCTGATCTTCGAGATTGAGGGTCATGCAGCTGAAGACTCCGGGAGGAGCTGAGTTGCTAATTTGAGGGTCTTGCAGCTGCTGACTTGGGGAGGAGCTGATGTTCTAGTTTGAGGGCCCTACAGTTGGAAATCTGTACAGGAGCTGATGTTCTAGTTTGAGGGTCATGCAGGTGAAAAATCGGGGAGGAGCTGATATTCTAGTTTGAGGGCCCTGCAGCTAGAGATGCAGACAGGAGCTGATGTTGTAGTTTGAGGGTCGTACAGCTGAAGATTCAGGGAGGAGCTGCTCGTGTATTTTTAGGGTCATGCAGCTGCAGACCCGGAGAGGAGCTGATGTTAAAGATTGAGGGTCATGCAGCTGAAGACTCTGGGAGGAGCTGACGTTCTAATTTGAGGTCCCTACAGGTGGACACCGAGAGAGGAGCTTATGTTCTAGATTGAGGGTCATGCAGCAGAAGACTCGGGGAAGAGCTGAGGTTGTAGTTTGAGGGTCGTGCAGCTGGAGAACCAGACAGGAGCTGATGTTGTAGATTGAGCGTCGTGCAGCTGAAGACTCAGGGAGGAGCTGATGTTGTTCGTTTTGAGGGTGTTTCAGCTGGAGACTCAGGGAGGAGCTGACGTTCTAGATTGAGGGTCTTGCAGCTGCAGACCTGTAGAGGAACTGATGTTCTAGATTGAGGGTCACGCAGCTGAAGACTTGGGGAGAAGCTGATGTTCTAACTTGAGGGTCGTGCAGCTGAGGACTCGGGGAGGAGCTGATGTTGACAGCTGTGCAGCTGGAGATCCGGCGGGGAGCTGATGTTCCGGTTTGAGGGCCGGGGAGCTGATGTTCCAGTTTGATGGCCGTGCACCTGGAGACCCAGGGAGGAACATCAAACTGGAACATCTGCTCCCCGCAGTGCCTCCAGCTGCATGGCTCCCAAACTGGAACATCGGTTCCCACCCGGGTCTCCAGCTGCACGGCCCTCAAACTGCAACATCGGCTATCCCCGAGTCTCCAGCTGCACGGCCCTCAAACTGGAACATCAGCTTCTCCCCAAGTCTTTCAGCTGAATGGCCCTCAAACTGGAACTTCAGCTCCCCACCGGGTATCCAGCTGCATGGCCCTCAAACTGGAAGTTCAGCTCCCCACCGGGTCTCCAGCTGCACGGCCCTCAGACTGGAACATCAGCTCCCCACTGGGTCTCCAGCTGCACGGCCCTCAGACTGGAACATCAGCTCCCCACCGGGTCTCCAGCTTCACGGCCCTCAAACTGGAACTTCAGCTCCCCAACGGGTCTCCAGCTTCACGGCCCTCAAACTGGAACTTCAGCTCCCCACCGGGTATCCAGCTGCATGGCCCTCAAACCGGAAGTTCGGCTCCCCCGCGGGTCTCCAGCTGCACGGCCCTCAGACTGGAACATCAGCTCCCCGCCGGGTCTCCAGCTGCACGGCCCTCAAACTGGAATAGTTTGAACTCAGCGGGGAGCTGATGTTCCAGTTTGAGGGCTGTGCAGCTGGAGACCCGGCAGGGAGCTGATGTTCCGGTTGTAGGGCTGTGCAGCCGGAGACCCAGGGGGAAGCTGATGTTCCAGTTGTAGGGCCGTGCTACTGGAGACCCAGGGGTGGAGCTGATGTTCCAGTTTGAGGGCCATGCAGTTGATGACCCGGCGGGGAGCTGATGTTCAAGTTTGAGGTCTGTGCAGCTGGAGACCCGCGGGGGAGCTGATGTTCCAGTTTGATGGCCATGCAGCTGGAGGCTCTGATGGGAGCTGATGTTGCAATTTGAGGGCCATGCAGCTGGAGACCTGGCGGGGAGGTGATGTTCCAGTTTGAGGGCCATGCAGCTGGTGACCTGGCAGGGAGCTGATGTTCCAGTTTGAGGACCGTGCTCCTGGAGACCTAGCGGGGAGCTGATGTTCCAGTTTAAGGCCATGCAGCTGTATGCCCGGGGGGAACTGATGTTGCAGTTTGAGGGCCGTGCATCGGGAGACCCGGTGGGGAGCCAGTGTTGCAGGTTGAGGGCCGTGCAGCTGGAGACCCTGTGGGGAGCTGATGTTCTTGTTTGAGAGCCGTGCAGCTGGAGACCCTGTGGGGAGCTGATGTTCCTGTTTGAGAGCTGTGCAGCTGGAGATCTGGTGGGGAGCTGATGTTCCAGTATGAGGGCCGTGCGGCTGGAGACCTGGTGGGGAGCTGATGTTCCAGTTTGAGGGCCGTGCACCTGGAGACCCGGCAGGGAGCTGATGTTCCAGTTTGAGGGCTGTGCAGCTGGATACCGGGGGTGGAGCTGATGTTCCAGTTTGAGGGCCATGCATCTGGAGACCCAGTTGGTAGCCAGTGTTGCAGGTTGAGGGCTGTGGAGTTGGAGACCCGGGTTGGGGGGAGCTGATGTTCCAGGTTGAGGGCCATGCTGCTGGAGACCCAGCGGGGAGCTGATGTTGCAGTTTGAGGCGGTGCAGCTGGACATGCAGGGGGGAAGTGATGTTGCAATTTGAGGGCTGTGCAGCTGGAGACCCTGTGGGGAGCTGATGTTCCTGTTTGAGGGTCTCGGAGCTGATGTTCCAGTTTAAGGCCATGCAGCTGGAGACCCGGTGGGGAGCTGATGTTCCAGTTTGAGGGCCATGCA
Organism: Homo sapiens; assembly: GCF_000001405.40. Classification (NCBI taxonomy): domain Eukaryota; kingdom Metazoa; phylum Chordata; class Mammalia; order Primates; family Hominidae; genus Homo; species Homo sapiens. The sequence continues at coordinate 143,723 of NT_187649.1, read as the reverse complement.
TCTGGAGACCCGGTGGGGAGCTGATGTTGCAGGTTGAGGGCCATTCATCTGGAGACCCAGTGGGGAGCTGATGTTGCAGGTTGAGGGCTGTGCACCTGGAGCCCCGGGGTGGAGCTGATATTCCAGTTTGAGGGCCGTGCAGCTGGCAATCTGGTGGGGAGCTGATGTTCCAGTTTGAGGGCCATGCAGCTGGAGACCGGGCAGGGAGCTCATGTTCCAGTTTGCAGGCAGTGCAGCTGGAGACCCGGCGGGGAGCTGATGTTCCAGTTTGAGGTCCGTGCAGCTGGAGATCTGGTGGGGAGCTGATGTTCCAGTTTGAGGGCCCTGCAGCTGGAGACCCGTGGGGATCTGATGTTCCAGTTTGAGGGTGGTGCTGCTGGCGACCCAGGCGGGAGCTGATGTTCTAGTTTTAGGGCCCTACAGCTGGAGACCCGGGGAGGAGCTGACATTCCCTTTCGAGGGCTGTGCAGGTGGAGACCTGGGGAGGAACTGATGTTGTTCTAATTTGAGTGTGGTGCAGCTGGAGATCCAGGGATGAGATGGCCCTGCGGTTCAAATATGAGGGTCCCGGAGCTGGACTCTACGTGAGGAACCAATGCTGCCTCTGATGTCTTAGGTTGTGGAGCTGGAAACTCGCGGAGGAGCTGGTATTGGTGTTTCTAGTTGAGGGTCGTGGTATTTCCAGGGTTTCACAGAGGCCAGATTTTATTTCAGTTACTCAGAAGAGAAAGAAAATGTCTTCTGAAAGAGGTGAACTCAGTCATTACCAATAGAAAAAGTATCCACTGTATTTATCTCTTATACAAACAGAAAAATATAACATTTTCCCCCTTAGAATATATATATATATATATATATATATATATATATATATATATATATATATATAAAACTTAAGGTTCTATTGTATGTATCCGAACAATAAAATCTGGAAACCAGCATGAAACTCTATTATTCACATGTTAAAATGTTGAAACTATGACCAAAATATGAAAACTGCTGGAGCTATCAGAAAGACACAAGACAAAAAGCTTCTTGCATATGTATAAACTAAATGTGATAATCTCAAAAAACTGTTCAAAATTATAATTACTTTCCAGTTTAAAAACTTTAATCCTAAATTAAAAAAAAAAATCTATACACAAACCACTGATTTGCCCAGACCAAAGAAAGAAAGAAAGAAAGAAAAGAAAGAAAGAAAGAAAGAAAGAAAGAAAGAAAGAAAGAAAGAAAGAAAGAAAGAAAGAAAGAAAGAAAAAGAAATCAGCGGTAAGGTAAGCAGGACCCAGAGGAGCTGATATTCACAGTTCTTACATGGACAACTCTTTCAGGAATTATCCATAAAGTACTTTATTTTACAACCTGCTTTTCTTATAAAACTAAAGGTGCACTTTTTTACATAAAAGTTTTATACAGTGTTAAAACCAGAACTGTGTGTAAAATACTGCATGTAAATGTTTCTAAATAGTCTTGTTCCAGTGGTTCATCGGTGACTTCTGTGGCTTCGTCATCATTATCCATGGATGATTCTGAAAGAATCTCTCCAGTTTTACTGGAATTGGATCCTACTAATTCTTCTGTTTCACGGCAGTCAGAAGAACCACTACTTTCAGGGCCTTCGTTTTCACTACCTTCAGAATGTAGTAAATCTTTCTCAGCTTGAGACACATCAGATTCCTCCATTTCATTATTTTCCTCAGAAGTCTCTTCATTCACAGTTGAGGCATCATCAGATTCTTTTTCTTGGTTTTTTCTTTCTGGGACCATTTCTCTTGATGTCATAAAAGACTCTAAAAATAAGCAAATGTTGTTGTACTTAAATTTTATATTCAAAATACCTCCACAGTTAAGTTTCGTGAATTCTGATGTTCTGTAGTTCAAATCACATCCCCTGAAATTCAGCAGCAACTGCATACAGGTGGGAGAAAAGCCCAGCGTCGACATTACAAGGAGTTCCATGATGTACAATTCTTTCACAAAAACAATGAATGCAAGAATTTGAGGATCTCCTTACTCCTCCCTTTTACAGATGGTCTCTCAATCCCTTCTTCTTCCTCTTCATCTTCATCTTCTTCTGAACGCGCTGCCGGGTACCATGGCTTTTTTTGTCTTTATCATGAGATGAAGGTGATGCTTCTGTTTCTTCTACCATAACTGAAGAAATTTCGCTGCAAGTCGCTTGACTGGCTATTTCTCCGACTTCGCCTTTTTTGTCAAACCTGAGTCTTTTTACCTCATGCCCCTCAGCTTCCACAGCATCTTCATCTGGATGTTTATTTCTCAAAGGGCTCACTGAGGAAACTTCTGATTCAGATGTCGAAGAGTCACTGAGTTTTCTCTTCATTTTGCTGCAAATTTGCCTCTTTGCTGTCTGTGCTCTCAGGCCACCCATTTGTTGTCATGGGGGCTGACAGAGAAACCTTTGGTCGATTACGTGGCCTGGGTGTCCCAGGCCCATTTATATTAGACCTCTCAGTATAGCTTGGTGCATTTCCAGGAAACATCACACCATTCATTCGATTTAAACTATTGGAATTGTTTTTCTCTGAAGAAGGATAAACACAGCTAACAACCATCACGTTCTTTTCTACTCCTCTGAGAAATTTGTCTGTTCCTGTATAGTTTCTCCTCGGATCTGTTAACAATTCACATAATCGCTGAATAGTAAAAGGGATACGGTTAAATCCAGTGACAGTTTTTCAGTATTCTTCCCTTTGTTTCATCACAGGGAATATATTCGACATTAGGGTTGGGAGGACCTCTTGGCGCAGGAGCTGAAGTTCTGAAATCATCCATCACTTTCTCCAGTTTGAAAATAAAATAGCCTTTAAATTGGGACCACGGAATCTGTTTCTCCAGTCTTGGCTACATGACAAAAGGAACTGATCCAGGACAGGACAGACTTTCTTTTTTGCCTCTTCTCAAAATCTTCCAGCGCCTCCTGGAGCCTGTCGACGTCCATGGCTTCCCGGAGTCCCTCACAGCCTCCGCCTCCCTCCGCGGGTCTCTTGGGGACCGGAACGCCTCCCCCCACCCCCCGACGTCCTCCCACTCCCTCGCACACCCTCCAGCACGCAGGCCAAGTGGGGTGGGGGGGAACGAAGGGAGCCGGGGAAGCGTGTGAGAGAGTGAGACCGACAGAGTGAGCACCTCCCCAAGCCGCTACCACCAGCCCTCCAACATGGCGCCTGGCACATCACCCTAAAAAGTCATTTCTTGGAGAAGCGATGGATGACAGAGATTAATCTGAGAGTTACTATTAATGGAGAAACTTAGAACTTACCATTTTTCCTGTGAGGTTTCGGTGCTGATACTTCTATTCTGTGAGTTCTGGCAATTGTGTCCGTTCACCCAGCCTGGTGATGCAGCAGGTGTCACAGAAGGACCCTGTCCCAGCTGGTCCTGCTCCACTGCTAGGATGGTGTGGCCTCTGATCTGTGACCGTGTCTTGAGGGGAGACCAGGCCCTTGATCACAAGCGTATCCATGGTGAGGTTCCGTGGATGGAAGCTCATGGATGTTCCTTCCTGATGTTCATCTGCCACCATGCTATTGAATGCATCTTGTTTATAACTGTCTTCTAAATATTGAATAGAAATAAAGCGTTTTTACAGTATGGGTAAGGTATAAAGAATATTGACACATTGGACACAGAGGACCTCCACCAAGTTTAGGGAGTAGAATCTGAAGAGACATAGCTTTGGATGCTCCCTGGAGGCCCTGCCTGAGTCCCAGTCCCTTCCCTTCTCCTACGGAGGGAATCACTTCCTGCTTTAGTCTTTATTATTTGCACACTTTCCTTCATAGTATGTTTCTTTCACCGTGTGTGTACATCCCTAAAAGATATGCCATTTAGTTTTTGAACTTTCTGTTTTCTTTTTGAGGCAGGGTCTTGCTCTGTTGCCTCGGCTGTAGTTTTGAACTTTGACGTGAGGGAATTCTCCTGCGTGGCTGCTCCTGCACTGCATGGCTCTGAGCACCTGCTCTGTGTCTATTTTTGTCCTCCATTCTCTCCCTGAGACCCACCCACACTGACATGGCTCATTTTCATTGCTGCATGGTCTCCCGTCGTCTGAGGGGAGCATGGGAAATGTCTTCATCTTCCCGTGGATGAGTGTTTGGCCAGGTTGGGGCCCTTAGGACTGTGTTTTGTTGGGAACGTTCTTGGGCATTTCTTTTGTACACAAGCGCAAGTTTCTTCTGGTCAGTAGCTTTCAAATTTTAAAATTTCATCCCAGGTAAAAATGTAATTTTCCTCATAACCCACAACACACACACTTTCATATACAAGCATAGCAGAAATATACTTCACAAGCGTTAGCAGTGCCTGGTGTTCCTGCTTCTCTCCATTCTCCCCAACGCTGGCATGGATTGGGTTGTGGGATTTTTGCCCGTCTGGTGGTTGTCACGTGATATCTCCCCCTGTTAGGCTGAGCCCCTCTTCATGTTTTCATTAGCCATTCCTCCACATTTCCTCTTCTGTGGAGGGCCGGTTCAGCTCTTTTGCCCAGTTTCTGTTAAGTTGTTTGAATTTTTGCACTTTTCCTTTATTATTCCTATTACTATGTTTTTGAGACAATATCACTCTGCCACCCAGGCTGGAGTGCAGTGGCGCGATCTCAGCTCACTGCAACCTCCATCTTCTGGGTTCAAATGATTCTCCTGCCTCAGCCTCCCAAGTGGCTGGGATTACAGGCACGCACCACCACGCCCAACTAATTTTTATATGTTTACTACAGATGGGGTTTCACCATGTTGTCCAGGCTGGTCTGAAACTCCTGACCTCAGGTGATTCTCCCACCTCAGCCTCCCAAAGTGCTGGGATTATGTGGGTGGCAAGCCACCCAGGCACCGAGGCAAGAGACAGAGGACACGAGCTGTTCCAGTATAATAAAATATAAAACAAGAATAGTTATACCAGATATAGATCTTAGATATGATTATATATGAATATCATTAATCATTAGTTTGTAGCAATTACTTTTTATTCCAATATTATGATAATCCTTGCTCTATAATCGTAGCCTAGGAAAAACCAGGCCATACAGAGATAGGAGCTGAGGGGACATAGTGAGGTGTGACCAGAAGACAAGAGTGCGAGCCTTCTGTTATGCCCGGACCGGGCCACCAGAGGGCTCCTTGGTCTAGCGGTGATGCCAGCGTCTGGGAAGATGCCTGTTACCAGGCGGATAGCAAAAGGTGTCAAGGAACAACACCCGATACTTAGCAGACCGGGAAAGGGCGGGGAGGGGGGGGGGTCTCCCTTTCCCCGGGGGAGTTTAGAGAAGACTCTGCTCCTCCACCTCTTGTGGAGGGCCTGACATCAGTCAGGCTCGCCTGCAGTTATCCGGAGGCCTAACCGTCTCCCTGTGATGCTGTGCTTCAGTGGTCACGCTCCTAGTCCGCCTTCATGTTTCATCCTGTACACCTGGCTCTGCCTTCTAGATAGCAGTAGTAAATTAGTAAAAATACTAATAGTCCCTGATATGCGGAAATAATGGCATAAGCTGTCTTTCTCTCTGTCTCCTCTCCCTCTCTGCCTCGGCTGCCAGGCAGGGAAGGGCCCCCTGTCCAGTGGACACGTGACCCACGTGACCTTACCTATCATTGCAGGTGACTCACATTCTTTACCCTGCCCCTTCTGCCTTGTATCCAATAAATAACAGCGCAGCCAGACATTCGGGGCACTACCGTTCTCCGCGCATTGGTGGTAGTGGCCCCCCGGGCCCAGCTGCCCTTTCTCTTATCTCTTTGTCTTGTGTCTTTATTTCTACACTCTCTCGTCGCCGCACACAGGGAGAGACCCACCGACCCTGTGGGGCTGGTCCCTGCAGGGTTATAGGCATGAGCCACCATGCCCGGCCTGCTTTTTTCTTTTTCAAAAGGACTCTTTCTAGATTATACCTATTCATTCCGGTGACTATATGTGGGGCAAAGATGGGTTTGAATCCACCAGGATAAACGTGCCGGATCTCCTCTCTGATGGAAGAAGAGACAGGGATAGAAGGGTGCAGAGAATCAGAGCCAAGAGGAGGCCGAGTCAGGCGGGGGTTGCAGGCTGCTGTGAGGACTTGGCTGCTTCTCTGAGTCTGGTGGGATTAGCAGGGGATTTAAACAGAGGAACCGTGGGATCTCCCTTATGCATTTCTGCCATGGTTGGCTCAGCTGAACACACCTCTTGAGCAAGACTTGGTCTTGGACACCCAGAGGCCCTTGGTTGAGGGTTTACCTCCTGGCGTGGCCACTGACACATCCACGTTTGTCTCCCACACGGCTGGGCGGCCCCGAGACCTGCTGTGCGTGCCCTTCTCATTGGTGGCATTTCTCAAGTTTGTCCCCTCTCAAGTCTGCCCCATCCGGAAAACCAAACACCTCTCTCTCCTACATGGAAACCCCCGTCAGCACCTCCTCCTGACTCACAGGGCATCCCGTCAACATCACAGTCCCAACCTTCCCACATGGAGAAGCTCATGGGACCCCCGATGGACCAGGACAGTGCCAGCACTAAGACGTGCCCTGAAACTCACAGGAAGAGCGGACCAAGAAGCCGGGAACAGCACGGGGCACTGGGAGCTGCAAACGCCCACGATACTGTGAGAGACGGAGAAAGGTATGACAGGAGGAGCAGACCAAGAAGACGGGAACAGCACGGCGCACTGGGAGCTGCAAATGCCCACGATACCGTGAGAGATGGAGAAAGGTATGGCCATGGCGGTCACAAAATGTTCCTCAACATTTATTAAAGGCCTAAATGGAGAACATAACGCTATCAAACCCTTAGCTAAAAACACAGGGGAAAATTCGTATGGCCTGGGGTTAGGCGAAAAGTTCTTAGACATGACACCAAAAGCATGATTCATAAGATTGACAAATTAAATTTAGTCATAAATTTAAAATTATAATTCTATAAAGCAATATAAAAATCCAAAGAGAATGAAACATGAACTATGGTCTAGAAATAAACATTTGTGAATCACACGTCTCACAACCTACTGGCACGCAGGATATATGAAGAACCATCAAAACTTAACCATAAGAAAGTAAAAACCCCAGTATTAAAGAGAGGGCCAATATTGGAACGGAGGCCTCATCAAAGAAGGTATAAGGAGGGCATATTGCCCGAGAAAGAGGCTCAACATCATAGAGATGCTGGAGAAATGCCAGTCAGCAGTACCTCTGCAAATCCATTAAAATGGCTAAAAACAGACAAAACCCATGGGCCAACCCAGGTTCTAGTGATGATGCAGAGGAACTGGGACCCTCATAAGCTGCAGTGGGAATGGGAGGGGTCCCGCCATGCTGGAAAGTGGTCCTGGAGTTTCTTACGAAGTTAAGCACATCCTTACCATGTCATCCAGCAACCCCACTGCTGAAATGTCCCCCAAGGGAAAACTTAAACGTGCACACACAAACCTGCACACAAGTGTTTAGGCCTCATTCCTCATTGCCAATAACTGGAAGAAAACAAAATGTCCGTCGGCAGGAGCAGGAGAAGGCGTGAACTAACGCGGATGCTTCCACACAGGGGGCACCAACCAGCAGTGGAAAGATGCACCCAAATGCCCCAGGTCTCCCAGGCTACATGCCCGTTGAAGGAAGCTAGTTTCGGTGGGCACAGGCCAAAGGATGCCAACACATGACATCTTGGAGAAGACAGTGTACCGTGTCGGGGAGCAGGGCAGTGGTTTCGAGGGGCTACGGGTGGAGGGGCGAATGGAGGAGCTCTCTGGGGCGATGGCGTGAGCACCTGCACCTCACTGTGGGCTGCTGCGGCTGAGGGGCTGGTACGGCAAACACTGGCTTCAGTACATGCAGACTGAAGGAGGAAGGCTCCCACAACTCAGAGACAGAGGGTGTCGCCTCCATGAAACAAAAACATATTTTAAAAAAAAACCTCTTAAAATTAAGAAAAAAACCACAAAAAGTATTTCATAAGCGCATTGACTTTGAGTTGACACAATCTACCTGGGAGCATGGAACTGAAACCACAGGCTTGGCAATCCCGGAGGGAGAGGGTGGAGGGTTTAGACCTCAATTGAAGGGCTCAGTACCTGGCTATAGGAAATAACATTTAAAAAGCAGCAGGGTGGAAATAATTTCTGCTGATGAGGTTGCATCTCTCCAGATAGCCGGCAGAGTAAATTAAAGCAATATAGTCTTGCTCTGTTGCCCAGGCTGGAGTGAAGTGGCGCCATCTCCGCTCACTGTAAGCTCCGCGGGAGAATCTCTTGAACCCTGGAGGCAGAGGTTGCGGTGAGCCGAGATCCCGCCATTCCACTCCAGCCTGGGCAACAAGAGCGAAACTCCGTCTCAAACCAAACAAAATTAGGTAACTAACCCAGGACTAAAACAGCGTAACTTTAAAAAAATAAGTCTAGGAGGTATGATGTTCATTCCCTGCAAGCCAATAAAGGTCACGTCTGGGGCATACATCTAAAAAAATAATCCTAAAGAGAAAGTTATGGTCACAAATATGTTCTGTATGGTGTTATTAAGAGCAAAAATGGGAAACAACCCAAATATCAGTAAAATGGGACTGAACCCTTGCAAATTTACTAAAATAAAATTGTTAAACATGATGCACAAGACGAAGATTTTAATAAAGTGAAAAGACAGGAAACATACTTACTAATGATTATTGGTTTATTTTTCATGCCACTTCATTCCACAAAAAGATTTCAGATATCTTAGAAAAAGACACACTAGAAATATTAAAATACTATCTGAACCAGAAGCAGAATCAGGGTAAGCTAGCAGAAAGGCGTATGAGCCAAAGGGATCTACCCAGCTTTCAAAGCTGACCACGGCCGTGCGCAGTGGCTCTGTCTGTAATCTCCGCACTTGGGGAGGCCGAGGAGGTAGGATCGCTTGAGGCCACAAGTTCGAGACCAGCCTGGGCAACAGAGCAAGATCCCGCCTCTACCAAAAATTTAAAAATCAGCCGGAAGCCAGACACTAGGGACATGGCTGAGGATCGCTCCCGCCCCTCGGAGGCCAGAAACCGAGGGTCACTCCCGCTCTCTAGAGGCCGGAGGCCCCGGGCCGCTCCCGCCCACCTCCGCGGACGAGCGCCGCCCCTTCGACCCCATTCCCTGAGGTCTGGACGTTCAGGCCCTCTCGGTCTGGGAGATCCCGGAGAACCACCCACGGGGCTTTAAAAAATGTTGGTGCCCAACATCTCCCCGAAATAGGGCCCGCCCTATCTCGGTCGGGGAGCGCGGGACCTCCGTGGCCACCCAGCGCCACCGTCCGCGGGTCCGCTTTGCGCAGGCGCGGCGTCCCCGCCCATTAGACCCCTGCCCGGGCGTGTCGTGGTGCGCAGGCGCGATGTCCCCCACTAGCGCCCCGCCTTGACCCGGCCGTGGTGCGCAGGCGCAGTCTGCGCAGGGACTGGCGGGACTGCGCGGCGGCGACTACAGACGTGTCGGGGGTCCGGGGCCTGTCGCGGTTGCCAAGCGCTCGGCGCTTGGCGCTGGCGCTGGCCAAGGCGGTGAGTCCCTGCCGCGGACCGGGGCAGGGCAGGCGGGGGGCGAGGCGGCGGTAGGAGCGGGACGGTCCCCAGCGGGTCCGAGCGGAGCGGGCGCCGGGTGCCCGCGCCCCCTGCCCGGGGATCGGGAAGGGGCTGGGAGAGCCCTGGGCCGGTGCGAGGGGGAGCCGCGGAGTGTACTCGGGGGCCTGGGGAGCTCGGTCCTTAGCAGGTAGGCCGCGTCCCGGTGAAGGTCGCGACCCCGCGGGCTTGCTGGGCGTCCCCTCCGCCGCTTTGGTCCGGGCCTGGGGTCCGGCGACCTCGCGGGCTGAGGTAGCCCCTCGCCTCTGCCTGGCGGGTGGACTCGGGGAGGAGTCGTGTCTGCCCAAGGTCACCGGGGTGGAGTCCTGGCTGGGCCGGGCCTCTGCCGCCCTCTGTGAGGGTTGTCCTGCGGGGCCGCCCGCAGCCCGTGGGTGGGGCCGGCGGGGCGGGTGAAACCGCCTGGGTGGGTGCGAGGAGTGGCCGGGCTCGGCCGGGTGGGTGTCCGGTGGGAAGCGCGGCGCGCCCGAGCTTGGGCTTGCAGTTCCCCTTTCCAGAGAGCGCAAATCTGTGCATGTCCACTTCGGGATCTTGGAAGTTAAGGACCTGTACTTTGGGTCCCGTTTGGTGGCCCTTGTGCCACAAAAATGTGCCGGTGTTTAAAAGCAGCTGTGCCAGTTTTTAAAAATCAGACGGAGAGCTCAGGGCACTGACCGAGCGAGGACTCCAGGACCTGTGCTTGCCTGTGCGCTGAGTACCTCGAGGGCCGGGCTCGGCTTAGTCCAGGATGATGGTCAGGGTTATACTTCCCTGAGCCCTTGCTCTCTGAGTGTCTGAATGTGCCCTCTACGATTGCATCTTCAGAATCGGCCTTCTAGGATTTCATTTAATCAAGCGAAATTGGATAGGTTTAGTTGTTTGGTTCTTTTAAATGAACTTAGCCACCCACCTCTTAATTACAAAGTAATTTTAAATTGCAGAGTAAAAATCTCAATAGAGGAACCAAGGCATTCAGCAATATTGATTTGAATTATGCCTGTGATTGTGCAATTTTCTCCTTTTTGAAATAGTTATTGAAAATCTCTTTGAATTAAATGTGAGGATTAGTCATACAGCCATCCTGTCAACATCGGAAAGCGTGTAAACCGTTCTAGCGTGTTGCTGTGGTTGGTGCTGACTGAGCAGAGACCCCCGCCGCATCTTGGGCTCTTAGGAGCTGCTGGGAGGGCGTCCACAAGCAGGAGGTGAAGCCCATGGTCAGTGGGACTTTTTAGGGGCAATGGTAGCTTGTGGTTGGAGAGAAGCTAGATAGAGCCAGTGCCTTTGTCCCCAACCCAGATGGTGCCCAGTGTTCCTTCTGCAGACTAAGGCCCCAGGCACCTCAGACCAGATGGCAAGATAGCAAAATGGAACCAAAATTTAGTCTTGGGTTTTGTAAAAGTCTTTTTATCTTGATGAAGGTAGCTTTTCCTACAGAAAGTCGTGCGTTTTTGGGTTCTTCGTTGGCTGCTTTTGTGATTGTGTAGGCTGTACATGCAGATTCGTTTCTTGCTCATGATTTATAGGTGCATTTTATTCGATGAGGACCCCTTACTTTGCTAGATTTCGGATATGAATGTCTCTGCACTTGTTACTTTTCCCCCTCCACCTCCTGATTCAGTCATCTGAAATTCTGTATTGTTAAGCAAGGTCTAAGTATTCCTTTTAGTTATATGTTCCCCATGTTTTTTCTTAGAGGAAATGTTTGATAGTTTCTCCTAAAAAATTAATAATTGGCACAAAAGACTAGTTTTGTGTCAAAAGTAGTTTTGAGTTTTATCTAAAGACTGACATTGGCTTGAAGTTGGGCTTTCCAGATTCAAAAATCTGCCCCAGATGAGATTTAGATGCAGAGGGTTAGTGTCCTTTTCCCCAGGGGGATGGCGTGATGATTTGTTCAAGATTGTGTTATAGTAGCTGCCCCTTTTAAGGCAGCTGTGTGTGTGTGTGGTGGGGAGTGGGCAGTGTGTATTCCACATCAACATCCTAGAAAGAACGAATAAACATTTAGTGATCTCACTGTTTCTACTTACATTTGGTATAATGTACTGTTTTTATTGGTGCTATTACCTATGTTAATAGGGCACTTTACAAAATTTTCAAGAACGTTTTTATTAAAATTATTTCAAAGACTTCTTTCTTAAAATATGATTTTACCATGTAAAAAATTATACTAAGGTAGAAGAATATTCGTTCTTTCTCATTTTCTGAAAAAAGAAAAAACTAAATTAGCTTATGTCAATAAAAACAGACTAGAAATTGGAGAAATGAAGAATAATTTTTTATCCCACATAATAAGTAATTTGTGAATTGCAAGTATTTCTAAATACTTGAAGACATCCCTCACATCCCCTCTTCTGATTGCTGAGTGCATAATTTCCTAAAGCTTTTTTTTTTCTTTTGTTTTTTTGGAGACATTGTCTCGCTCTGTCGCCCAGGCCGGAGTACAGTGGCACAGTCTCGGCTCACTGCAACCTCTGCCTCCTGGGTTCAAGCGATTCTCCTGCCTCAGCTTCCCAAGTAGCTGGGATTACAGGTGCCCGCCACCACGACCAGCTAATTTTTAGTAGAGAGGGGGTTTTGCCATGTTGGCCAGACTGGTCTCGAACTCCTGACTTCAGGTGATCTGCCCACCTTGGCCTCCCAAAATGCTGGGATTACAGGCATGAGCCACCACGCCCAGCCCCTAAAACTATTCTTGATGATATTTCTGAGACTATTCAGTGGTCTTCTAAAATGCCGCCAGCAGAATGGAAAACGTATCCCCTAAATGGCTGGCCAACCTTAGCATATGGGACAGTGTGACCTCTCTCACACAGAGCCACTAAAAACTAAACACTAAAACCAGTTTTCTTGAGTAAAGGTTTCTAAGATGGAAAATTTAAGCAGTGAGATATGTCAAGTTGTAGACGTTGGCCAGGAAAAAGCCAGCATCAACCAGGCAGGGGAGAGTGTGCATCCGACATCCTCCTGTGTGATGAAGGGATGACACCTCTTCCCTCTGGGCTGTCAGCCTTTACTGTTCCAGGATACAGATCTCCTGATTCAGGTGTCCAGTGCCTTTTGAACTGACCGCAAGCCCTCCTGGACGATTGGAACTGTAATGTGGAAAGGGCTCTGATGGAGCCGGTTAAAATGCTTCATTATTTGCAAAATACCACATACAGTAATACGATCTGGATGTCTTTCCCCTCCTCCACTAAGTAGCATAAGTGAAGACTTCCCAGAGGAAGTGCGTCTTTTTCATCTCGTATCTGAGTCAGTGAGTATCCTTTTTGGAAACAAGCTTCATCCTGGTTTTCTAGAGTGCCAAGTCAGGGTGGAAAGGAGGACCTGGGGGCTCAGTCCTTCCTTGCCCCTTGGGCTGCCCTTCAGGGTTAAATAGAGGGTCCCAGCTGAGCTCTCTGGATGCACAGGAGCACCTGGGTACATAAGAAGGTGAACAGTTTTCAAGGGGAAGTTTGAATTACTATCCCCCACAGCATTTGTTCCTTCAGGACACTAACCCTCTGGATCTGTGTCTTCTGTGTCTCCAGTGGCCAACAGTGTTGCAAACAGGAACCCGAGGTGTTCACTTCACTGTTGAAGGAACGAGAGGGCATCTGCTAAAGTTTCAGATTCCGTAAGTTCATGCTTTTTGTTCCATTATAAATGATTTTTTTGGCTTGGGGGTAAGGATCTATACCAGTTTGTTTTCATATGAGTCATAGACATAAGGGAAAAATTTCTCATAGGTATCCAATGCATGCTGAAATTATTTTCAGTGTAATAATACTTAATTGCAAGTACCAATATAAACATAGATGTTAACATTTTTACTTGTATCTGTTATGTATCTATAAATTAGATTTAAATTTAGGTCAAGTAAAGCAATAAATTAAAATGAACAGTATCTGCTGTGATAGATGATAAAATCCTACTGAAAAGAGGACCGTGGGGCCCTTCCGGTGTGGGTTCCTTGGTATTGAGTGTGCCTGTTCTCTCTCTGTTGGAAAACTGAAACGTGCTGAGAAGTTCTTTTCTCATAAGCTCACAATAGCGACTGAATGCTCCTTGGTACCTTCTCAGGCATAAGCATAGGCACGGCCCTGAAGTAGAGTTGTGGTCCTCAGTCTGATCCCATGGAATAGACCCTCTACCATTCATAGAATCTGATTATCAGTCCCTTCTCCAGGTGCGAATGTGCCTACTTCTCCCTGCACTGTTCAGGGCTCAGCCCCAGGACAGGATGGAGGCCCTGTGTGCCCAGCAGTTGCTCCTTTTATCTTTGTCAAGCTCTTTCACTGGCACAAGAGTCTTCATGTTTGGCATAGTGGAACCTGTGCTTGACAGGTGAATTTTTCTTTTCCAGATTTCTGCTCAGTATCCAGTAGTGGATCATGAATTTGATGCAGTGGTGGTAGGCGCTGGAGGGGCAGGCTTTGCGAGCTGCATTTGGCCTTTCCGAGGCAGAGTTTGATACAGCATGTGTTACCAAGCTGTTTCCTACCAGGTCACACACTGTTGCAGCGCAGGTAAGAGAAAGGTGCCCCACTGTGCTCCCACTCCGTGCAGGTCCCGCGCAGCCTCGCACTTTCTACCTGGGCAGCCTCCTGCCTCCTCCCTGTGCTCCAGCCACTTGGCCTCTTGCTGTGCCTTACTCAGCTCACCCATTCAGGGGTCTCTCCCTGGAGCCTCTTCCCTGGGGACTTTGAAGGGCGGGAGCCTTGTTGTCACTCTTAATTCAGACTCCAGTCACACTTGGGTTTTCTCTGACCATCTACCCTCCCCACCCACCCCTGCCACCCCAACACCTTAAGAAAAGGAGATCATCTAAAGAGGAGGATTCAGAATTTAGGTTGGGGAAGAAAAGGGCAAGGGTTTCATTTGTCCCTGGTGCTGCTGTCTTCTGGGACTCTCTGAGGGGTAAGACGGTGGTGGGCACACACAGCCAAAGGAAGTAGGGGTACAGGGGAGTGCGACTCTGAGTATGGAGTTTATTACTTGGCAGGAAGCACTTCTAATCTTTAACACATGCCCGTAAATGCCGTTGGGAAGATTTGTTAATAAAATTATGCGGAGAGATTCATGGAGTACCTTTTCTGTGCCAGATACGTTAGGTAATAAGCATATTACAGGTAGCCTTTCACTCACTGCTCCAGTCAGCCCTTCCTGGAGTTCCCTCTGTCTCCACCACACAGATGAGGAGACTGAGGCTAAGGGATGGAATCACTGGGTGAGTCTGGGAGGGGTTGTGATCTGGAATCTGTCAGGCCTGGCTGCTCCTCTGCTGAGGTCAGCCCTCACTGGGAGTCACCATGTGAGTAGCTGGCTTTCTCTGAATCCCCCAGCGGGTGGATTTGGGCCTGGAAGACAAAGCTGGGGCTCCTGTTTGTGGCTTGTAAGGAGTGGTTGGTGTTTCCAGGTTGGAATCAATGCTGCTCTGGGGAACATGGAGGAGGACAACTGGAGGTGGCATTTCTATGACACCGTGAAGGGCTCCGACTGGCTGGGGGACCAGGATGCCATCCACTACGTGACGGAGCAGGCCCCCACTGCCATGGTCGAGGTGATGGGCGGGAGGCTCTGGGTGCTCTGGTGGTCTGTTTCCAGTACAAGAGTCCTGGAAAAAATGTAAGCAGTTGAGGCAGATGTGGCAGCCGAAAGAATGGTGATTAGCAAAGCTCACAAGAGAAGTCTTTGTCCATCATGAACTATGTATTACATGTAATAAGAAAAACTTCTCTTTGATGAAGTGTTGACATTTTCATAAAATAGGTTAATTTGGGTTTGCAGATTTGTATTAAAGTTGTTTAGTGTAGATTAGCTGTGAATATCTTGACTCCTTTAGGGTAATAAGGCTTTTGTTTGTTTTTATCTTTCACAGGTAGAAAATTATGGCATGCCGTTTAGCAGAACTGAAGATGGGAAGATTTATCAGCGTGCATTTGGCGGACACAGCCTCAAGTTTGGAAAGGGCAGGCAGGCCCATCGGTGCTGCTGTGTGGCTGATCGGACCGGCCACTCAATATTGCACACCTTATATGGGAGGGTAAGGCTGCCCCCCGTCCACCTGAGACAGGACACATAGTGCTGGGGCTTGTGGTGACAGCGGGGAATGGGTTAGCGTGCCCAGTGAGTCAGCCAGAGATTGCGTAAAAAGCAACAGAGAACAGCCGTGTGGGGCACATGCAGCGACTGTGGATGTGACAGGAGCAGGCGTGTGCCTTGAGAAGCTGCCCCTAAGGCAATGTGTGAGTTGTTGCCTCTATGTTGGGAAGTTGAATTGATAATCTTATATACCAGGTTTTCACTTGGGATATGTGACACTCAGCATGTAAGAACAGAGCAAGCAGGCCAGGCACAGTGGCCCACGTCTGTAATCCCAGCACTTTAGGAGGCCAAGGCAGGAGGATCACTTGAGACCAGAAGTTTGAGACCAGTCTGGAGAACATAGTGAGACCCTGTCTCTACAGAAAGTTTAAAAAGTAGCTGAGCATGGTGGTACATGCTTGTAATCCCAGTTACTCAGGAGGCTGAGGCAGGAGGATCACTTGAGACAGTGAGCCATGTTCATACCACTGCACTCCAGCCTGAGCAACAGGAGACCTGTCTCAAAAAAAGACAAAGAACAAGTATTTTAAGGCTCTTTTACCACCTCTGAGTTCCTGAATGGATTGGTTTGGTTTGTTTGTTTTGTTTTGCTTTGTTTTTGAGACGGAGTCTCACTCTCACCCAGGCTGGAGTGCAGTGGCGCGATCTCTGCTCACTGCAACCTCTGCCTCCCGGGTTCAAGCGATTCTCCTGCCTCAGCCTCCAGAGTAGCTGGGACTACAGGTGCACGCCGCCACGCCTTGCTGATGTTTTGTATTTTAGTAGAGACAGGGTTTCCCATGTTGCCCAGGCTGCTCCCGAACTCCTGAGCTCAGGCAGTCCACCTGCCTCGGCCTCCCAAAGTGCTGGGATTACAGGTGTGAGCCACCACACCCGGCCATGGATTGTTTTCATATTAACTGTTATCACTGGACAAAGACTTGAGGTGACAATAGTTACTGGGTAATCAGGGTCAACTTTGGCATGACCAAACAATATCCTGAACAGTATTGATTCAGAGTAATCCATGTTCTGAGCTTTGTTGTTTTCTGATGCATGGGGACGGATCAGTAATGTGCAGGTTGTTAGAACACCAGTGACTTCTCTGTGGCTGAGTGCATCGACAAGTGTGTGGTGGGAGGAGACGGCGGCTCCTTCCGGAGCAGGAGCTGTCATGTGGGGAGCTGGCCCAGGCTCACGAGAGCGACTTGCGCTGGCTGAGGGAACGGCAGGTCCAGGCGGGCAGCGCTGTCCGGCGCCTACCTTTCTGCGGTGCCGGAATCTGCTCGTCTGCAACCGTCCGCTTTGGTAGCTGCCAGCCACATGGGGCTGTTGCTAATGTGGCAGGTGTAGCTGAAGAGCTGAACGTTTTGACTTATTTTAATTAATTAAGTGGTTATGTGTTGCCAGTAGCTCCCATCTGGGCTGTGACCCCATGGTCTGCGGATCTCACTCTGGCACCAGACTCCGAGTGGAGCTGCATGCGGCCACCGGACAGTGTGGAGTGCCTCTTCGGGTTGTGTAGAAGTAGGAAATGTGTCACCAACATAGGAGCTGTTGCTGCTGCGTTCTCTAGCACACCTGCCTTGTTGGTACTGCTGGGCGTGGAATGCCTCTCGGGCTCTGACAGTGTCATTGACACTGTTGCTGATCTCCTTGGATTTACCTGGTCCATTTGGATCAAGTTCTTTCACCTATTCACATGAGCAGATATCACCTTAAAACCTTAAAGGTTGGCTTAACACTTCTTGCCCTTTTTTTTTCTTTCTTTTAGTCTCTGCGATATGATACCAGCTGTTTTGTGGAGTATTTTGCCTTGGATCTCCTGATGGAGAATGGGGAGTGCCGTGGTGTCTTCGCACTGTGCATACAGGACGGGTCCATCCATCGCATAAGAGCAAAGAATACTATTGTTGCCACAGGGTAGGAATCTAATTTCTACTTTATTTCCTTTGTAAAAATGAATAAATTTCATTTAGAGTCTCTTTATTTTAAGGAAAATAGAGGCATTGTAGAATAGCAGTTCAGACACAGGCCTTGATATAACCACGTGAGGGTGATGGCCTTTCCCAGCCATGGTTCCTCACCTGTAAAGGGTGAGGACAGCAGCACCTGCCTCGGGGTGAGAAAGCATGGCCCTCATTAGTCGGTAGTGGCTGCCGTCAGGTTCACAGCGTACCTCTCCCGATTTTAGATGAGGAAACTGTGGCCCGAAGAGTCACATGGGGTTTTCTGGCAAAATCCCTCTTGTTTTAGTGGGTTCTATGTTTATACTGATTCCTGGGATAGATAAGTCTGTCTTCTCCACATAATGAAAATAAAAAACTTTAATTTTATACAGTGGCAGTTACTTTAGCCACTTTAAAAGTTAAGAAGTGTCAGTACAGCCAAGAAAAAAAATCAGCAAAACTACAGGGTGGGAAAAAATATTTTCCAAACCATATATCTAATGATATCTTAGTATCTAAAATAGCAAAAAAAAATAAAAAATAAAAAAAAGCCCTACTAAAACCAACCTACTAAACCCTACTAAAAAACAACCCTACTAAAAATGGGCAAAGGACTTGAATAGATATTTTTCCAGAGAAGACATACAAATGGCCAGTTGATGTATGAAAAAATGCTCAACATCACCAAGCACCAGAGAAATGCAAATTAAAACCCCAATGAGTATCATCTCATCTCGCTCCAGTTAGAATGGCTGTTACCAAGAGGACAAAAGATAGTGAGTGTTGATGAGGATGTGGAGAAAAGGGAACCCTGTGTGCTGTTGGTGGGAATGTAAATTAGTACAACTATTGTGGAAAACTCTGGAGGTTCCTCAAAAGTCACAGGACTACCATGTGCTCCAGCAACCTCATTTCTGGGTGTATATCCAAAGGGCATGAAATCAGAAGCTCAAAGAGACACCTGGACCCCCATGTTCATTGCAGCGTTATTCACAATACCCGAGATATGGAAACAACCTAAAAATTTTTGGTGTTTAATGACAATGTGGTGTGTGTACACAACTGAATATTATTCAGCTATGAAAACGAAGGAAATCCTGTCATGTGTGACAACGTGGATGAACCCAAAGTCATTATGTTAAGTGAAACGACCCAGGCACAGAAAGACAGATACTGCATGTCACTCATATGTGGATCTAAAACTGTCACAACTCACAGAAACAGAATAGGACAGTGGTTGCCAGGGGCTGGGGGAATGCAGACTGTGGCGATGCTGATTAAAGGTGTAACTTCCCGTCACAAGGTGAAGTTCTGAAGGTCTGATAAACAGCATGGTGGCTAGAGTTAATGTTATAGAGCATGGTGGCCAGAGTTAACATTATACAGCATGGTGGCTACAGTTAAAATCATACAGTACGGTGGCTATCATTAATATAACTTGAAATTTGCGAAGAGAGTAGACCTTAGGTGTCTGTATCTCCAAAAAAAAGGATAATTGTATGAGGTGATAGATGTGTATTAAGTTGATTGTGTCATCAGTTCACAAAATAAATCATCACGCTGTACACCTTAAATATATACAGTATTGTTTTTTGTTTAATTCATCAATCATACCTCAGTAAATCTGGGGGAAAAAAACAAAATCCATAAAAATTTTAAAATTTTCATTATAAAAGTAGTATATGCTTACTGGGGAAACCTTTTGAACAGCACAAATCTAAAATACAAATAGGGCCAGACGCATAGTGGCTCATGCCTGTAATCCCAGCACTTTGGGAGGCCGAAGTGGGTGGATCACCTGAGGTCAGGAGTTCAAGACCAGCGTGGCCAACGTGGCGAAACCCAGTCTCTACTAAAAATACAAAAATCAATTGGATGTGGTGGTGCACACCTGTATTCCCAGGTACTTGGGAGGCTGAGGCAGAAGAATCACTTGAACTTGGGAGCCAGAGGTTGCCGTGAGCCGAGATTGTGCCACCGTACTCCAGCCTGGGCGACAAGAGTTAGACCCTATCTCAAAATAAATAAATAAATAAATAAAATATAAATGGAAGTCTCTTCTCTGATCCCAGGCTTCTATCCTACCTGCGCAGGGTAGCAGCACCACTGGCGTGGCCCCCAGTGATGTGTGTGGGGTGTGCGTGAGTAGGGGGTTGTGTGCACACAGCACTGAGAAGATGGTGCCCGGGGGCTGCCCTGTCCGTTCTGTGATCTCATTAGACAGGAGGTCCGGACGTGGGCCACTGTGTGCAGTCACTGCTCTCTGTTGTTTCCATAGGCTACGGGCGCACCTACTTGAGCTGCACGTCTGCCCACACCAGCACCAGCGACGGCACGGCCATGATCACCAGGGCAGGCCTTCCTTGCCAGGACCTCGAGTTTGT
Organism: Homo sapiens; assembly: GCF_000001405.40. NCBI lineage: Eukaryota > Metazoa > Chordata > Mammalia > Primates > Hominidae > Homo > Homo sapiens. The sequence goes on along the minus strand of NT_187649.1, from coordinate 123,775 downwards.
TCAGTTCCACCCCACAGGTAGGGCAGGACGCCTTGCCCGGAAGGCGTTCGGCTCGTGTGTCTTGTAAGCGTGTGGTGCCTACTCATTGCTCTTCCATAGTTTTATGTAATAACATGGTTTTGAAGATCAGCTTCCATAGCTCTCAGGTCCTAACTTCAATGTCATTTCCTTAAGGAGACTTTTCCCACACTCCCCTTCCCCTAAGGCAGTTTGGGCCACCATCTTATGCATTTCTCAAGAGCCCTAAACCCTGCCTTGGTGATACTTATGCCAGCAGTAAAGCAGGGATTGAGGCCGGGCATGGTGGCTCACACCTGTAATCCCAGCACTTTGGGAGGCCAAGGCAGGTGGATCACCTGAGGTCAGGAGTTCAAGACCAGCCTGCACAACATGGTGAAACCTCATCTCTACTAAACATAAAAAAATCAGCTGGGCATGGTGGCATGCACCTGTGATCCCAGCTACTTGGGAGGCTGAGGCGGGAGGAATGCTTGAACCTGGGAGGCAGAGGTTGCAGTGAGCCGAGATCGCACCACTGCGCTCCAGCCTGGGCAACAGAGTAAGACTTCGTCTCAAAAAAAAAAAAAAAAAAAGTAAAGCAGGAATTGTTCAGTGTCCCTCTTTGCAGTGAGGTTGTCAGCAACTCGGGCAGGCAGGTCTTCTCATTAACTGGGGTGCTCCACGCCCAGCACATGGTAGGGTCTCCATCGGGGTTTACTGAGTGAGCATTCTGAGAGCTGGGTGAATGCCGTGGAACCAAGAAGCAGCACAGGCAGATTTCAGCTTTGTAGGACAACACAGAGCTTCCGTGACAATGGGATGTAAAGTTAAGACACAGCCATGAGAGAACCCCATGTGACGTTGGGCGCTGGGCTCAGCCCACGTGACCACTGAGGGAGCTTGTCGTGGGGAAGATGAGCTCGTCTTGGGGACGTCTGACGGTTGAGGTTACGAATGTGCAATTTGGAGACATTAACTCAGAAATGACAGTTGAAGTCTTGAGTTTGGAGGAGGTTCTTCAAAATGAGTCAGAGACAGACACACACACGTCTGCCTCTTGTTTGAGGTGACTCGTCCTGGACTTTTCTGGGTTGCTTTTCTGACCTGTGGACGATGGAGACCCCTGAAGTGGTGCCAAAGAACCAGACCTGTGTCTTCTCTTTCTCTGTCAGTGTCAGCTTTCTGATCCCTGGAAGGGATGAAAATAAGAAATGGATTTGTTGTAGGTTTTTTTTTTAATTTGTTTAGAGATGGGGTCTTGCTCTGTTGCCCAGGCTGGAGTGCAGTGGAGCAATCTTGACTCACTGCAGCCTTTGTCTCCCAGGCTCAAACGATCCTTGCACCTCAGCCTCCCAAATAGCTGGGACTACAGGCATGTGTTACCATGCCCAGCTAATTTTTGAGGGTTTTTTTGTTTTTGGTAGAGACAGGGTGTCACCATTTTAAGCCCAGGCTGGTCTCAAACGCCAGGGCTTAGGCGATCCTCCTGCCTCGGCCCCTCAGGGTGCTGGCATTATAGCCATGAGCCACTGCACCCGGCCTGTTGTATTTTTTATTACTGTTTTTAATCAGCAAAATGTCAGTGAGCCCCTGAATTCCCTCTGTAATTTGCTTAGAGCTCCACTTCTCATGCTTTGTCTTCAATATGTGAGAAGTAACCACAGAAAAAAGAGCATGGAAACTTAGAAAATCAAAAGGCAGGTGAGATGCAAGAATCACATTCTTGTCTTGAAAGCAAGATTGCCCTTTTTGTATACTAATAAAAATTGTAGCTTTTGAAATACATTTAGTTTAGGGTTTTTGATCTCCTTTGTTAAAATTCGAGAGCTTGGCACGCCCTGTTTCTCATCGCACTGAGGAGTCACAGAGCCGCTGTTTGGGGCACAGACCGCCGGACTGCCCAGGTTTGGGTTTGAGCTCTGTCCTCAGCTGCATGACTGGATGTTACCAAGCGTTAATTTGCTTGTCACTGAGAAAGGGGGTCATACTACCCAGAGTTGTTGTAAGACTTAAATGAGTTTAATATGTGGAAAGCAGCTAGAACTGCCCATAGCAAGTGCAGTGTAAAGATGAACTAAAATAATCATTATTACTGTTCTTGCCACTGTTTGGGTAACTTAGATATGAATTCTCCAAGCTAGTATTCTTAACTAGTCACCACAGTATCATAGTGCAAAAGAATGTTCAAAAATTAAAACAAAATTTGAGGCATCCAACGTACACCGGGCTGTAATCAGAGTATTGGCCAGAGGTCTGTGGGCCGGCCTTTCTCCTCTCTGGGGACGCCACTCTGCCCCAGCCTCTGCTGCAGCTGTCAGCCTTGTCAGTGCTTTTTGTTATCCAGACTTTCTACTGTATCTTAACTGTTCTTTCTGTTCAGTTTTGCATATAATGCCTTCTGCATATCTTTTTTGTCTCTCCCCCAAAAAATATCTTGTAAAAAAAAGTAATGCATTTGAAATAGAGACCTAGCAATTGTTAGGTTATAAATGTGTGGTTTTTTGCAGGCACATATGGTGCTGGTTGTCTCATTACGGAAGGATGTCGTGGAGAGGGAGGCATTCTCATTAACAGTCAAGGCGAAAGGTTTATGGAGCGATACGCCCCCATCGCGAAGGACCTGGCGTCTAGAGATGTGGTGTCTCGGTGGATGACTCTGGAGATCCGCGAAGGAAGGTGCGTGTGGTTTACCACCAGCACTGTCTGAGCGGGCACACGGGCCGGGGTTGCTTCTGTGAGTTTCAGCACCGCTCGCCCTCACCTTCGTGTGCAGGCACATGTGCACAGCCACCTCTCTCAGCTGCCGGCAGGCGTCTGTTAGTCTGCGATATTTTCCTAAAGACCTACATTTTGAAAATTTTAGCCAGTTTCTTTCTCAAATCTGTGGAACAGAGTTTCTCTTAGTGTGTGTGAGTATGTGACGGAGTATGGGAGAGAGAGACACGCACCCAACCTGAAGTCGGCGTGTGAGCCTTGGGTGTGGTGTCTGATACCCACAGATGTTTTTCGGCAGCTTTCAAAGTGTGTGGGTCATTTGCCTTTCAGAAGAACAGTTTGCAGCTCTTTCATTGCCTGACCCTGTTCTTTAATGTGATAACACTTGCTAAATATCTGCTGGTATCTGGTGTGGCCTTTAGAGGTTTTACATTTTTATATTAAAAAAAAAAGAAGTCGGATGGTTTCTTGTAATATGGTGGCCCTCCGTATCCATCGGTTCCACATGTGTGGTTTCAACCAACTATGTACTGAAAATAAAATTGCATCCTTACAAACACGCAGACTTTTTTTTTTCCTTGTCATTGTTCGCTAAGCAACACAGTGTAGCAGCTATTTACCTAGCATTTACATTGTATTAGGTACTATGAGTAATCCTGGAGTTGCTGTACAACTTAAATGTAAAACTTGAAATGAGGATGATTTAAAATATGGAGGAGGATGTGCATAGGTTATATGCAAATACTCTGCCATTTTATATTAGGGACTTGAGCATCCACGGATTTTGGTGTCCGTGGGGGTCCTGGACCCAACCTGCCACGGATACGCAGGGACGACTATTTGGCATAGAGGCCTAATGCTTTTACCAAGGACAGCCGCTGCAGGCTGTGATCCCTGAGACGAGTGTGAGTTCAGTAAGGGCAGAGTTTTTGTTCTGGTTCTCAGCTGTGTCCCAGCACCTGGGATTGTCCCTGGCATACAGTAGATGCTTAGAAAAGATTTGATGAGAGGGTGGCCGTACATGAGGGGAAATTTTCCTCAGTATCAAAACATGTTGAAACTCACACGCTTCCAAGATGACGTATTCTCAGGTCTGCTGCCGTTGCCATTCTCTGCCTTATGTGATGGTGTTCTGTCTTACCAGAGGCTGTGGCCCTGAGAAAGATCACGTCTACCTGCAGCTGCACCACCTACCTCCAGAGCAGCTGGCCATGCCCTTGCCCGGCATTTCAGAGACAGCCATGATCTTCGCTGGTGTGGACGTCACGAAGGAGCCGATCCCTGTCCTCCCCACCGTGCATTATAACATGGACGGCATTCCCACCAGCTACGAGGGGCAGGTGATGGTGCTGGCTTCTCTCCCACAGCTGGAAAGAAGGCTGGGACAATGGGGCCCATCTCGCAGTTGTCTCTTTAGATCTTAGAGGAAGAGACAGATGTTTCCTTCCAGAAAGTACTGTATTGTTTGCTAAATTGCACTTGAAATTTCTATCACTGGAGGATGGAAGGAGGCTTAATAATTTATTCCTCCTTAGTAAACTGTCATAGATACATCATTTGCAGCTTTTCCCATTTTATAATTACTTTCCTATATGATCTTGTGTTATTTCTAATGAGCTTATACATCAAGGGATCTTTATAATTCCTATTTCTAATGATCTTGTACATCGAAGGATCTTTATAATTCATACCTGTGAGTGGTTTGCGGTTCACACAGAGCTTGTCAGTCACTTAGCCTCCTTGTTGGGCGAGGTGGGTGGAAGCTGTTACTTTCCCCGCATAGATGAAGAGGTGAACAGGGGGTAGAAGAGTCTGGAACATCAGTCTCCCCTGCTGATGTTCCTCCACCTGCCGTGCTCCTGGGTCTGAGCTGGAGCACAGGTGGTGAGGGCCTCGGGAACATGGGACACGGGGGACAGTCGCAGATGCTGACATTGGAGGCCCTCTGACCTGCTTGTAACAGCAGGTGCTCAGGGGCAGAGGGGAAACTGGGGTATACATTCGGAAGTTTCCTTCTGAAGAAGAGTAGCTATGGTCCTTACTTCCTTCTTAGATATGGTCTTTACTTCCCTCTCTTTGTTTCTTGGAGATGGAGACTCGCTCTGTCGCTTAGGCTGGAGTGCAATGGCGCGATCTCGGCTCACTGCAACCTCCGCCTCCCAGGTTCAAGCGATTCTTCTGCCTCAGCCTCCCGAGTAGCTGGGATTACAGGCACCTGCCATCATGCCTGGCTAATTTTTATATTTTTAGTTGAGACGGGGTTTCACCATGTTAGCCAGACAGGTCTCGAACCCCTGAACTCAGGTGATCCACCCGCCTCAGCCTCCCAAAGTGCTGGGATTACAAGCGTGAGCCACTGCATGCCCGACCTACTTCCCTCTCTTTCTCTGACCTGCAGCACAGACACCCTGTTGAGGGAGGTGGGCTTGTGGAGGAATGGGCATCTTGACATTTCACCTGAAATCTTCCTTTCCACAGGTCCTGAGGCACGGGAATGGCCAGGATCAGATTGTGCCCAGCCTGTACGCCTGTGGGGAGGCCGCCTGTGCCTCTGCACATGGTGTCAACCGCCTCGGGGCAAACTCGCTGTTGGACCTGGTTGTCTGGTCAGGCATGTGCCCTGAGCATCGCAGAGTCGTGCAGGCCTGGTAAGTGTTTTCTTCAGGACCCAGACTATTTGAGAAGGCGCAGGAGGTTAGTCTTTTTTCTTTTTTTTTGAGACAGGGTCAGCCCAGGCTGGAGTGCAGTGGCACAGTCATAGCAGCCTCAACCTCCCGAGCTCAAGCAGTCCTCAACACCTCAACCTTCAGAGTCCCAAGTAGCTGGGACTACAGATGTGCACCACCACACCTGGCTAATTTAAAAAAATTTTTTTTGGTAGAGACAGGGTCTCACAATATTGCCCAGGCTGGTCTTGAACTCCTAGACTCAAACAGTCTTCTGCCTCAGCTTTCCAAAGTATTGGGATTACAGGCATGAGCCACTGCACCCAGCCAGGTTACAAAGCCTTGATTTCTTACTGGAAATTTGCGTAGTGAGCATATAGAGGTAGTCTGGGTTTTTTCCCCTAGAAGTGATTAAACTGAGAAATCCAGAGATTATATGGTGGTAATGTTGAGACTAGATAGAGGCTGGTTGGGGATCTTAACAGTTAAGGTGACATTTTTGGGGTTACATTTTTTTTTTTTAAATTATTTTGCAGTCATTATTTTCTGTTTAGAAAAAGCACTATTAGGAAGCTGTTATTTTTAGGGGAAGTTCATTACGTATTACTTGCCTGATAAAAATCACTTATTTGCAATGAAATATTTAAAATAGTTGGCATGAATGAATATGTAACTTCTTGGTACTTAGAAAAATAATTTAGGCCATTCTAAAAGTACAACTAACCTCTATTAGAGGAGAAGGGCTGACTTAGAGTGAACAGGATTCCCACCCTCTACGGACAGATTCGATTTCACTTGCTGGTTTTCTTTTCAGGATAGCGTCAAATAATGTGCAGGAAAAGGAATACCGTGTGTGGGAGTGTGAGTCTTATGTGCACGAAGAACAGGACAGTTAGCATCGTTCCCACCTCCAGAGATCCTCACGGTGGTCATGCAGCCTCGTGTGCTCAGAACAGTGTGAGGTGGATGAGGCACTGGTGGATGTTTGCGTGGCAAGGATGGTGGGACCCCAGGCCCACGTTCTTCCCGTTAGCTTTCTCTGGTGTTAACTGTTTAGCATCATTTCTGCTGTTTTTATAGAACAGGCGCTTTTTGCTTTTTGTATGGACTCAAGTGAAATAAAAACTAGCACCGCCGTACCTTATAAACATGACCCTTTTCTATCTGTAGTTAGAAAGGTACAGGCAGTATTAAAAGGGTAGCTACTTCAGACACTGTGTCTCTGTGGATCTGACGACAGCTCAGGAGGCCAGCACATGCAGAGCCGGCGTCTCATCCCCAGCCGTTGCTGATCATCGGCGAAGGCGGAGTTCAGGTGCCTCGCTCCTGACGCCACAGGTTGTGCTTGTCTCACTCCATAGCCCTGCACTTTGTCGCAGTGAGGTCTGATACCACTTCTCTCAGAGCAGTGTAGAAATTTTGAGCTTCTCTTTCTTTGAAAATGCAGAAAAGAACATTTTGTGAGAATACCCTATACTTGACATCTGAGAAACCGCTCACACATGCAGCATCTCACGCAGAATGCTGTGGAGTCGGACTCAAAAGGCTGCACGCCTGTGGTCCTGTTGATAGGACATTCTGGACAAGGCACATCTAGGGAAGAAAAGGGATTGGTGGTTGCCAGAGGCTGTTTCCTGATTGTGCTGAGGCTTACAGACACAGCTCTGTGTGTGTCAAAGTTTGAAAAACCTACATTAAAAATGATGAGTTTATTTTACTGTATCTTTACGCTTTAATTTTTAAAAATGAAAAGGAAAGAAAAAATGCTTGTAGCATCCCTACTTCTCCCCCAACCCCCGACCCCCCCAAAAATATATATATGTGTATTTTTAGACATAGTCTCCCTCTGTCACCCAGGCTTGAGTGCAGTGGTACGATCAGGTGCACGCCACCACATCTGGCTAATTTTTAAAAATGTATTCTAGGGACAGGGTCTCCCTGTGTTGCCCAGGGTGGTCTTGAACTCCTGACCTCAAGTGATCCTCCTGTCTCAGCCTCCCAAAGTGGTTACATGCATCTATCCATGTGTTAAAATCGGTAGAACTGAGGCCGGGTGCAGTGGCTCACACCTATAATCCCACCACTTTGGGAGGCCAAGGCAGGCCGATTGCTTGAGCTCAGGAGTTCGAGACCAGCTTGGGCAAGGTGGTGAAACCCCGTCTCTACCAGAAATACAAAAATTAGCTGGGCATGGTGGCTCACACTTGGGTAGTCCCAGCTACTTGGGAGGCTGAGGTGGGAGGATTGTTGGAGCCTAGAAGGCGGAGGTTGCTGTGAGCCGAGATCACACCACTGCACTCCAGCCTGGGCAACAGAGGGAGGAGACACTGTCTCAAAAAAAAAAAAGAAAAAAGAAACTGTAGAACTGTCCACCGAAAGAAAAAAGTCAATTTTAATGGATGATCAATTTTTAAAGCGTTATAAACAAAAGGAAAAGAGACACCAGCAAGCCTAGAAGCATTTGAGCAGACCGTCAAGAGACCCACAGCCTGGTCCCGAGGAGAGGCGGTAGGCGGGACAGGGCCTGTTTGACTCCTGCATTTCATACCTCCTATCTCCTGCATGTGTTACCTATTGAAGAAAAAATACATATAATTTTATAAAAAAAAAAAACCTTTAAAACTTTTTTCAAGACATCTTGGAAACACAAGAGTTGCAAATCTTGGCCGTGCGCAGCAGCTCACACATGTGATCCCAGCACTTTGGGAGGCTGAGGCAGGTGGCTCACCTGAGGTCAGGAGTTCGAGACCAGCCTGGCCAACATGGTGAAACCCCATCTCTACTGAAAATACAAAAATTAGCCAGGTATGGTTGCAAACTCCTGTAGTCCCATCTACTCCAGAGTCTGAGGCAGGAGGATTGCTTGAACCAGGAGGTGGAGGTTGCAGTGAGCCGAGATGGTGCCACTGCACTCCAGCCTGGGCTACAGAGCAAAATTCCATCTCAAAAAAAAAAAAAAAAAATTGCAAATCTTGAAGTATAGGTGAGAGCACACAACAGTCCAAATCAGCAGGTGACTTGCAAGCACACAGCAGCCACCTTCCTCCCCCTAATGTGAAGGACAGTGGGGCGGCCGGCCCCTTGGGACCACCATCTGGAAGGTGTCATTTTTTCCCGTTAGTGGAGTGACATTTATATACACTTAATGTATATAAATCTGTATACATTTAATTTTTTTTTTTTGTAAGACAGGGTCTCGCTCTGTTGCCCAGGCTGGAGTGCAGTGGCGCGATCTCGGCTCACTGCAACCTCCACCTTTCGGGTTAAAGCAGTTCTCATGCCAGATAATTTTTGTGTTTTTAGTAGAAATGAGGTTTTGCCACGTTGGCCAGGCTGCTCTTGAACTCCTGACCTCAAGTGCTTCACCTACCTCAGCCTCCTAAAGTGCTGGGATTACAGGCGTGAGCCACTGCACCTGGCCTACATTTTAATTTTTTAATTTTAGAGATGATTTCTAGTTTATTCACTCTAAGATCACTTAATGGATATCTACTGTGTGCCAACAGTTTTGCCTTTTATGTCTGTTCTTTAAAATTGGCCCCAACTCAACAGATGGCCTCAGATGTAGGGTGGGTTGGCAGTGTGTTAGCTCAGGAGACTTACACCGTTTCCAGGCTCCTTGAGCGGCTATGCTACATTTTTGTGTGTAGTACTAAATCCATTTGTTTTTTTAAAACGGTTTTCAAAAGTTAAATTCTAGCTCTTTTTGTTGTTGTTTTAGGAGATAAAGTCCCTCCAATTAAACCAAATGCTGGGGAAGAATCTGTCACGAATCTTGACAAATTGAGATTTGCTGATGGAAGAAGCATAAGAACATCGGAACTGCGACTCAGCATGCAGAAGGTAAGAGCCTGGACTCGCTCTGGAGTGAGCAGGCTGGCTGCATACCTGGCCCTGCACTGGTTTTGTTTTTTTAAAAACAGATCTAGGGGGATGCAGGTGCAGCTTTGTGTGGATGTACTGGGAGGTGGTGGAGTCTGGGCTTTTCATGTACCTGTCACCCAAGTCGTGTGTGTTGTACTCAGCAGGTAATTGCTCATCCCCACCCCTCCCGCTTTTTGGAGCCCACAGTCTGTTAGTCCACTCCGTGTGTCCATGTGTACTCACCGTTCAGCTCCCACTTCCAAGGGAGAATGTGTGACACTTGACCTTCTGACTCACTTAGGATAGTGACCTCCCATTCCATCCGTCTGGCTGCAGAAGACATGATTGCATTCTTTTTTTATGGCCAAGTAGTATTTCATGGTATATATGTACCACATTTTCTTTATCCGGTCGTCCGTTGATGGGCACTTAGGTTGATTCCATGACTTTGCTATTGTGACTAGTGCTGCAATAAACATACGAGGCTGCACCAGTATGTGGAGGTAAACAGCAGTAGGACATACTCCTCACTGTATCAAGAATATGAAAGAGACCAGAAGTGCACTTCTTCTCCACATAGAAGGTCAGCAGGCCAGGGCAGAATTAGTGACTGCTTAGCATCCAGGACAGCCTTCTGTGGTTCACTCGTGTGTGCTTGGGCATGACCTCCGTGCCCTGACCGTCGCTGGCTGTCATGGATGAGTCACAGTGTGGAGGAGAGGGAGCCGCAGGACTGCCGGAGAAGCTCCGTCCCCAGCAGGGCAGCTTTCTCTTAGAGGTTTCCTGGAGTTCAACACAACACTGGTGCTTACATCTCAGGCCCAGATATTGATCATGTCATCATGCCTGGCTTCCAGCAGCTCGGAAACGTCTTTAAGCTAGACCTGTTGCTGCCCCTAAATATACTCAGCAGAGAGGGAGAGTGGGCGGCAGGTGGACAGTGATCTGTGCGGCCTGTGCTGCTGGGAGTCGGTCCAGTAGGACCGTCTGTGATGATGGAAATGTTGAGTGTTTGCCGTCCAGTATGGCAGCCATTAGCCATGGGGCCGTGGAGAACCTGATATATAGTCAGTCTAAGAAACTCAATTCCTCTAATAACAAGGATTCTTGTCCATGAATGAGATCTCTTGTCTGCTATTTGCAAGAATTTCTGCGTATTTTCTAGAAAGAAGTCCACTGCTTTAGTCCTATTCTGAAAGGCATTTGGTGTTAGACACAAGAGAACAGGTTCCCTGCTGACAATTTTCAGAGGCCCGTGCCCTTCGGTCTTCAGGTGAGGCTGGGCTTGAGGGAGGTTTTGTGGAACGGTGAGAAGAACAGCGTGACTAAGGCACAGAAGGCTGAGTGATGCCCTGCAGTGCTTTTGTAGGGTTGGAGGCCAGCTGGGAAAGAAGGAACCCTTGCGTTAGAGAATGGGAACATGCCTTAGGATATAGAAATGGCAAATCTGAGATAGTTTGAAGTGAGAATACTAGAAGTGTTCCCACCAAACAAGGTGTGTCTTGGTGCCTGCTGTATCCCAGGCTCCGTGAGGTGCCGGAGTCAGCACTGAACAAACAGAGCTTCCTATGCTTGCGGAAATGCATTTCGTTGGGGGAAGGGATTTTTCTGCTGACTCTGGCTATTAATAGTAACAATCAAAAAAAGAAATGAGGTAAATTGATAGAAACAGGCCCCCAAATGTGGCCATAAACTGGCCCCAAAACTGGCCATAAACAAAATCTCTGCAGCATGTGACGTGCTCGTGATGGCCAGGACGACCACGCAGGAAGGTTATGGGTTTACCGTAATGAGGGCAAGGAACACCTGGCCCACCCAGAGTGGAAAACCTCTTAAGACCTTCTTAAACCACAAACAATAGCATGAGCGCTCTGTGCCTTAAGGACATGCTCCTGCTGCAGATAACTAGCCAGACCCATCCCTTTATTTCCTGTAAGGAATACTTTCAGTAAGTCTTATCACTGGCTTGCTGTCAATAAATACGTGGGTAAATCTCTGTTTGAGGCTTTTGGCTCTGAAGGCTGTGAGACCCCTGATTTCCCACTCCACACTCTATATTTCTGTGTGTGTGTCTTTACTTCCTCTAGTGCCACTGGGTTAGGGTTTCCATGACCCAGCTGGTCTTGGCAGTAAATATTGAAAAGGAATAGATACAGTTGCCATTATTTACAGATATAATTTCCAAAAAATTTCCAGAGAATAAACGGAAAAACTAACAGAAACAAAACAAGAATGTAGTAAGGTATGTGTATAAGAGATTTGTATGTAAAAATCAGTAGCTTTGCAATGTGCCAGCAGTAATCTGCTCAGACATCAGTAAATATCTCATTCGCATTTCAAACAAAAAATTTAAAATGCCTTGAAATAATGTAACCAGAAATACGAAAAGATGATATGAAAACGTCGCTGCTAAAGGACATGAAAGAATGTAATACTAGATTCTGAGATGCAATTTTTTTCATTTGTTCTTCCTGAAAAACCATTAGGTTGATGTGCATTACAGTGTTACGATTATGTATGAGTCTAAGGAAAATCAGATGAAATGTCCAAATTGAACCACGAAGGTGCATTGGTAGAGGAAGAGACAATTAGGGTCAGTGGAGCAAAGCACAGTTAGAGGGAGAAGCAAGGAGGAGGAGGGATCACGGAGGTGGTGCCTGTGTGTCCCACAGGAAGCAAAAGCTGATGCCCAGTTCCCAGCATACCTAAGTAAACTTCAGGTCCACTCCTAGCACGTTTCTCGTGATAGTAAAACTATGAAGGAACTCAGTGTACAAGGAGCTTCTACAAAATAGGCAGAAGACAGTAGCCAGATGGGCCAAGGGCCCCAGCCACCCACGCCCCTCCCTCTCCTTGAAGACCTTCGGTTCCAACCCCACCATCAGCAGGGCTCTGCTCAGTTCCTCCTTGTGTGTATCACCACAGGGCTGCTGGCTCGTGTCACGTTCACCACCAGACCCCACATCAGGAGTCCCGCCAGGGGTGTGGGGAGGCAGTGCTGCCTGGTTGGCCGTGGAGCCGTATGGAACGTGGTGCCTCACAGGCAGTCTGCTTGGCGTCCTGGACCCTGGCTGTATCCCGCTGGAAAGGATGTGTGTGGGTCTAAGATATGTATATAATAGAAACATTTATTCAGAAGCTTTAGTCAAGACTTCATTTTTAAGTTCAGAGTAATAAACTCATAGTCTAAATTTCCTAATTTTTCTGTTTAATTTACATAAATAAAATGAAATGCAAAACAACAGGTCTAAAAGTTAAGCAGTTCTTGGTATGGCTGCTTCTATGAATTAAAAGTTTACAAATAATATTTTGTGCCACAGTCAACGCAAAATCATGCTGCCGTGTTCCGTGTGGGAAGCTTGTTGCAAGAAGGTTGTGGGAAAATCAGCAAGCTCTATGGAGACCTGAAGCATCTGAAGACGTTTGACCGGGGTGAGCAGACAGTGGGCTCTGTGCACACTGTTGGGCCCTGCCTTCTGCAGGGTGGGCTGGTGTCTGTCCCGTCAGTGCTGACTTAGTTCCATGCTTGCTGTCTGGATGGGTGCTGGCCCCCAGCTGTAAAGCCACAACCAGTGACTCCATGGACTAGCAGGCCCAGGCTGACAGCTCGGAGGGCCCGTGTGACTGGGTCCCACCTGCCCCTGATGGAACTTTTTGTGTCCCCAGGAATGGTCTGGAACACGGACCTGGTGGAGACCCTGGAGCTGCAGAACCTGATGCTATGTGCGCTGCAGACCGTCAATGGAGCAGAGGCGGGGAAGGAGTCACGGGGCGCGCACGCCGGGGAAGACTACAAGGTGCGCCTTCTCGCCACGCCCACCTGCACCTGCCTTTTCCTCCCGCCTGGTGGGACTCAGCCCCACCCCTGCATTTTCTCTGCATTTTATGTCGTTTCCCCAAAAGTATATCCAAAAAATGCCTTTTTCCCTCTGGTAACTTTGATCCCTGGGTTCTCGCCATTTTCTGGATCACTGTGACCTGTTCCTTGCTTTGGGTCGGCATCCACTGATGCCAGCAGTGGCATCTCCAAGCCAATGTGCTTTGCTGTTAGAAGGCCAAGGTTAGAAGTGCAGCCAGCGTGGCATGACCAGGAAATAAATGCCAGTTTATTAAATAACGAGTAAGCCACCGTTTCAAGCCTGCCCTATGGAGGAAATGCCAGTTTATTAAATAACGAGTAAGCCACCGTTTCAAGCCTGCCCTGTGGAGGAAATGCCAGTTTATTAAATAACGAGTAAGCCACCGTTTCAAGCCTGCCCTGTGGAGGAAATGCCAGTTTATTAAATAACGAGTAAGCCACCGTTTCAAGCCTGCCCTGTGGAGGAAATGCCAGTTTATTAAATAACAAGTAAGTCACCGTTTCAGACCTGCCTTGTGGAGGAAATGCCAGTTTACTAAATAACGAGTAAGCCACTGTTTCCAACCTGTCCTGTGGTTTGGAAAAGGTATTATAGAGCCTGTCCTGTGGTTTGATTACGGAGACTGCCCTGTGGTCACTTGTTCTTCAGATGAACTGATTTTTGTGCAGAGCACACGTGTTGGATTCTGCCTGGTAAGAGTTTTTCACATATGATAGCAAAAAACGACGGAAAGGGAAGCTTGGGGTGCAAATGCAAGTTCAGGATAAACCACATCGGCAAAAGGACAAAGGCTCCACAAGGCAGGCGCACAGGCTGGTTCAGGGCCATGTGTGGGCGGCTGGTGGCAGCCTTTCCAGTCAGCTGAACACAGTGAATGGGAAAATCATTTTTATTCACCATGAAATTTTACTGATTTACCCTCCACTAGAATATGCTGATGGCTGTGATCACTGCTCAGAATTTGCTCGTCTCCTCATACATATTAAGAGTCTTTCCTGCAAAGTATATGAATCCGTGTTTGCCAGAATACAGAATAATAATAAATTTATTATTTTTAATTTTTTGAGATGGAGTCTCATTGTCCCCCAGGCTGGAGTGCAGCGGCGCGATCTCAGCTCACTGCAACCTCTGCCTCCCAGGTTCAAGTGATTCTCCTGCCTCAGCCTCCCAAGCAGCTGGGGTTACAGGCGCATGCCACCGTGCCCGGCTAATTTTGTATTTTCAGTAAAGACGGGGTTTCACCATGTTGGCCAGGCTAGTCTCGAACTCCCGACCTCAAGTGAACCACCCACCTTGGCCTTCCAAAGTGCTAGGATTACAGGCATGAGCCACTGTGCCTGGCCAGGAGCATAAATTTAGTTGGTGACAACGAGTTTTAATTAGAATAGAAGCCAGGTGCAGTGGCTCCCACCTGTAATCCCAGCATTTGGGAGGCTGAGGCAGGCAGATCACTTGAGCCCCGGAGTTCTAGACCAGCCTGGGCAACATGGCGAAACCTGTCTCTACAAAAATTAAAAAATTAGCCAGGCGTGGTGGTACACACCTGAGGTACCAGCTGCTCAGGAGGCTGAGGCAGGATGATTGATTGAGCCCGGGAAGTCAAGGCTCTGGCGAGCTGTGATCACACCATTGCGCTCCAGCCCAGGTGACATAGCGAGACCCTGTCTCAAAAGAGAAAAAAAGTGTTTTTAATAAAAACAGGCTGAAAGAAAAGATGGAGGTAGTCTCCCAGCGCTTGGAGCAAAAAGACAAAGTATTTGATAAACTCTTAGGTACATAAAGGATGTCTAAGGGAACATGCGGACATGGATTACTCTGGACTCACTGCTGGCTGCACATCGCTGGCCAGCCATGTGGCCTCTGTGGGTTCTGAACGTGTTGATGGTGCCAACCTCCTGGGCTGAAGTGGAAATGGAATGGGTTCTAGGGCATCTGTCTCTTAGATCATTTTAATGTTTGCTGTGTTTTTTCTGTATTGCTCTGTTAGAGTAATGAGAAATGTGATGGTGTTTCTGGCCTCAGGTGCAGATTGATGAGTATGATCACTCCAAGCCCATCCAGGGGCAACAGAAGAAGCCCTTTGAGGTGCACTGGAGGAAGCACACCCTGTCCTATGTGGACGTCGGCACTGGGAAGGTCAGTGTGGAGCTCGTTCTCACCACAGCCCAGCACCCACACGGCCCCGCCCAGGTCTGCGGGCTGGCCTTGCTGATGGTGAACGCGGAGGAGCAGGCCAGATTTAAATCAACTCCCGACAGATTTGAGGCACCGCTGAAAAAGGCACTCTGACAGCAGTCGGGCTTCGGGCTGGAAACAGAATCCAGTGCCTGCAGGTGGTTCAGAGGAGCCTTAAGGAAGGGTTGCTCTGTGGTGTGGGCCAGATGGAAGTCACTGGGCAGGAGCAAGTGTCCAAGGCCTGGTGGCAGGGGAGGAGATGATGATTGTGGACCTAGCGAGAAAGTCAGCATCTGTGTGGTGGGGACAGAGCCACTACCAGAAACCAGTCCCGAGCCAAGGGAGCCCAGAAGAGACCCCTCCCCTCTCTTCCCATGGGCTGGGCCAACTGGAAGCATCTGCAGGGGAGCAGAGGGGATGTGGTGCAGCCCTTAGCATCCCCTGGGCACTGAGCAAGCAGAGAAGGGCAGAAATGGAGGCAGGGTTGGGGTAAGCAGCGTCCTGGGAACAGCCAGCCGAGGGTGTGGTAGGGGGGTTGCAGCTTGTTCCACACAAGCACAGCGTCTTGGGAACAGCCAGCCGAGGGTGTGGTAGGGGGTTGCAGCTTGTTCCACACAAGCACAGTTCACCTGTGTGGCATTTCCACTGGGCATTGAGATTCAGAAATCATGAAGATAGAAAGCTTTTACCCTTAAGCTTTTCATAACTTGTAAGGGAGAGTCGTATAATCACTTAGCTGTGTCTGTGGAAGTTACCTTTGGACTCTCACTATCATCTAGTGTGTCTGTGATTCAGGCAGTGGGTCATTTTCAGAATTTATCATGAAGGCCATTTCCTGATAGTATAGAGAGGTCACACTTCACTCGCTTAGCACAAGTCTATTTTTAATGTTTCCGGGTTCAGGTTTTTTGTTTTGTTTTTGTTGTTCTGAGATAGAGTCTCATCTCTTTTGCCCAGGCTGAAATGTGGTGGCTCGATCTCATCTCACTGCAGCCTCAACCTCCCCTCGGCTCAGGTGATCCTCCCACCTCAGCCTCCCGGGCACATGCCACCATGCCTGGCTAATTTTTGTATGTTTTGTAGAGACGGGGTTTTGCCACGTTGCCCAGGCTAGTCTTGAGCTCCTGAGCTCAAGTGATCCACCTGTCTTGGCCTCCCCAACAGGCATGAACCAACACGCCCAGCCAGTTTCAGTGATTTTTGAAGAAATACATACTCATTTTAGAAAGTACAAAGAGATTGAAATAAGAGCTCACTAACCAGAGATGACCCATTATGGTTTAAATTTCTTTGTATATGTGCCTACCTTTTCCTGTGTGTGCATATTTAATACACGGCTTGAGTATTCCTTCTCTGAAATCCTTGGGACCAGAAGTGTTTTGGATTTCAGGCTTGTTCAGACTTTGGAATATTTGCATTACACTTACTGTCTGAGCATCCTTAATCGGAAGATCTGACTCCATAGCACATTTCTTTTGAATGTCATGCTGGTGCTCAGAAAGTTTCAGATTTGGGAGAATTTCAGATGTTTGGATTAGGGATGTTCTACCTATATAAATATTTACTTTGAAGTAGAAAAACTGGAAGTAGATAGTTTAAACATGAAGTGTCTTGGTATAGACAAGGGTTCTCCCACTTTTCATGATGGGAGCATTTTTGTAAAGCAAAGCACTGAGAATCTGGTACAGTGTCATTTTCGTTGCTCTGTTCCACTCTACCGATCTGCCGTCATTTACAGTCCCCTGTTGCGCATGTAGATCATTTTTGAATTTGTTATTGGAAAATACTGCAGCAAATACCTTAAAGTTCACATGCCGTAAATCTACTTTTATAGTTAAAATTTTTCAAAAGGAACACAAGAGATGGCTTTTTGTACATTTTTGTGCTTAACTTACCACTGACTTCTTTTCAAGGTCACTGTGGAATATAGACCCATAATTGACAAAACTTTGAACGAGGCTGACTGTGCCACTGTCCCCCCAGCCATTCACTCCTACTGATGAGACAAGATGTGGTGATGACAGAATCAGCTTTTGTAATTATGTATAATAGCTCATGCATGTGTCAATGTCATAACTGTCTTTATACGCTTCTGCACTCTGGGGAAGAAGGAGTACATTGAAGGGGGATTGGCACCCAGTGGCCGGGGAGCGTGGCACTTACCTTTGTCCCTTGCTTCATTCTTGTGACAAGATAAAACTGGGCACAGCTGTTAAATAAAATATAAATGAACAAACTTTCTTTTATTTCCAAATCCATTTAAAATATTTTCCTGTTATGACTTGTCATATTTGTTGACCTAAAAATCAAATGTAATTATCTTTGTATTCTGTTACATCAAAATCCAGATATTTTGTTGCAGTTTCTTTTTTTTTTTTTTTTTTTTGAGACAGGGTTGGTGCAGTCTCAGCTCACTGCAGCCTCAAACTCCTGGGCAGCTCAGGTGATCTTCCCGACTCAGCCTTCTAAGTAGCTGGGGCTACAGGTGTGCACCACCACGCCCAGCTCATTTATTTTGTAATTGTAGGGACAGGGTCTCACTTTGTTGCCTAGGCTGGTCTCAAACTGCTGGGCTTAAGTGATCGTTCCTCCTTGGCCTCCCGAAGTGCTGGAATTATAGGTGTGAACCACCATGTCTGGCCTTGTAGTTTATTTCTAAGTTCAAATTAATGTTGGTGCTTTTCCTCCTTTTTTCTTAGCAGATGGTTTGCTAGGTGAGTGTGTCCTCGATTCTTTAAATCAGGGGTCCCCAATCCCCAGGCCACAGATTGTTCCAGTCCATGGCCTGTTAGGAACCAGGCCACACAGTAGGAGGTGAGCAGCCAGCCAGTGAGCATTACTGTGTGAGCTCCGCCCCCTGCCAGAGCATTACTGTGTGAGCTCCACCCCCTGCCAGAGCATTACTGTGTGAGCTCCGCCCCCTGCCAGAGCATTACTGTGTGAGCTCCGCCCCCTGTCAGAGCATTACTGTGTGAGCTCCGCCCCCTGCCAGAGATTACTGTGTGAGCTCCGCCCCCTGGCAGAGCATTACTGTGTGAGCTCCGCCCCCTGGCAGAGCATTACTGTGTGAGCTCCGCCCCCTGCCAGAGATTACTGTGTGAGCTCCGCCCCCTGTCAGAGCATTACTGTGTGAGCTCCGCCCCCTGCCAGAGTATTACTGTGTGAGCTCTGCCCCGTCAGAGCATTGCTGTGTGAGCTCCGCCCCCTGCCAGAGTATTACTGTGTGAGCTCCACCCCCTGTCAGCATTACTGTGTGAGCTCCACCCCCGTCGGCATTACTGTGTGAGCTCCGCCCCCTGCCAGAGCATTACTGTGTGAGCTCTGCCCCCTGTCAGAGCATTGCTGTGTGAGCTCCGCCCCCTGCCAGAGTATTACTGTGTGAGCTCCACCCCCTGTCAGCATTACTGTGTGAGCTCCACCCCCGTCAGCATTACTGTGTGAGCTCCGCCCCCTGCCAGAGCATTACTGTGTGAGCTCCGCCCCCTGCCAGAGCATTACTGTGAGCTCTGCCCCCTGTCATCATTACTGTGTGAGCTCCGCCCCCTGTCATCATTACTGTGTGAGCTCCGCCCCCTGCCAGAGCATTACTGTGTGAGCTCCGCCCCCTGCCAGAGCATTACTGTGTGAGCTCCGCCCGCTGTCATCATTACTGTGTGAGCTCCGCCCCCTGTCATTACTGTGTGAGCTCCGCCCCCTGTCATATCATTACTGTGTGAGCTCCGCCCCCTGTCATATCATTATTGTGAGCTCCGCCCCTGTCATATCATTGCTGTGTGAGCTCCGCCTCCTGTCAGATCAGTGGTGGCATTAGATTCTCATAGGAGTGGAATCCTGTTGTGAACTGCGCATGAGAAGGATCTAGGTTATGCCCCGCTTATGAGAATCTAATACTGATGATCTGAGATGGAACCGTTTCATCTCCAAACCATCCCCACACTTGTCAGTGGAAAAAGTGTCTTCCGTGAAACCAGTCCCTGGTGCCAAAAAGGTTAGGGACTGCCGGTTTAAATAACCAAATGCTAAAAGAACTGGCATAGAAGTAAATGGGCTGCTGCTTTATTTTTAGGCTGTTCTTTTTAGAGAGCAATGACAGTTATTTCCAAGTTTGTCATTAGAAAATAATATTAGGTTGGAGCAAAAGTAATTGCAGTATTTGCCATTGCTTTCAATGGTAAAAGGCACAATTACTTTTGCAGCAACTTAATATTATAAATTTGTTCTTAAAGTGTATTTTTGATAAGAAAGCCGTTTTGTTTTTCCTTCTGTTAATTTTTTGTTTTTTTCTTGGTCGAGACAGAGTCTTGCCATGCTGCCCAGGCTGGAGTGCAGTGGTGTGATCTCGGCTCACTGCAGCCTCCACCTCCTGGGCTCCAGCAGTCCTCCCACCTCAGCCTCCCTAAGAGCTGAGACTACAGGTGTGAGCCACCATGCCTGGCTAATTTTTAGAGACAGGGTTTCACCCTCTTGCCCAGGCTGGTCCCAAACTCCTGGGCTCAAGCAGTCCTCCTGCCTCAGCCTCCCAGAGTATTGGGATTATAGGTGTGAGCCACTGCCAGAAAAACGTTTCCTAAGACAAGGCAGGTCTTACATTATATTTAAATTTTTTTTAATGATGTCTTTTTTGGCAGTGCACAGCCAGAGGACAACACATCACACACAAGAAACAGTTGTGCTCATGTGATGGGGGCCTCAGCACTAGGAAGGAGTGGACTGTTGGCGCACGCAGCAGCTTGAATAAATCTGAAAGTCACTACGCTGCGTAAGAGAAGCCAAATAAAGCGCATGCTGTGTACAGAGGGTGTCGAGAATGCCTCCTACGTGACGGAAAGCAGATCCGTGGTTCCCTGCAGACTGGCAGGAGCAGATTCCAAAGGCACAGGAAGAAGCTTGCAGGTAGAATGTGTTCATTACCTTCTGCGCATTATACCACAAAAAAGCTGGGAATAAAAATGCTAACCAAAAAAAAAGGTGAAAGTAGATAAAATTTCTCAACTGTGTGATGGGTAAACGTGCAGGTTTGCTGTCATGCTTTGTTTATGAAGCTGTGGGGTACAAGGACTCTCATACGTCACTGTGGAATGCAGAACGTTGCAGCCTCATGGAAGAGGATTTGGCAGCATCTAACAAAACGACATGGCATTTGCCCTTAGACTCAGCAATTCTAGAATCTGCCTCAAAAAAAACTCTGGCAAAGAAATGAAAGGACTTTATCCACAGAGTTCTTTTCACAGCCTGAATGTGTTTGCCACAAAGTTCTTCACTGTGGCATTTGTAAAACTGGAAACAATCAAAATGTCCATCAGTAAGGGATTAGGAACATTAATTCGTGCAGTGGGGAACTCCGTACCAGAAGGAGGAATGAGGAACGCCTATTGATAAGGGGCAGAGTACATATAATATAATGCAAATATATATTTGCTTTTTCTTAAAACAGTACAAAGATAAAAATCTAAAGTGGTTGCTGTGGAGGACAGGGGTCAGTGGTGGAAGTGAGACCGAAATAGACTCTGAAGTAATATCTGGACTTTGAAATTGTAAGTGTTTTACATATTACCAAACTAAGTTTTTAAGATAGTCCCTAAAATTGAAAGAATGGTATCTGAAATGAATGAATCTAAATTCCTTGGATTGCATTCTACAGGCGCCAACCCTGAGACAAAAATTTGGAAGGTGGCCCTGAGCAGCAGCTGAAGGGAAGTGGGAGGTGAGACAGGAAAGAGGCGGCAGCATGGGGCGTCCGGGAGCCGGGTCTCATGTGGACAGCTGGGCCCGTGTTCACTGTGGGAGCTGGTGCGTTCCTTCACCAGCCCACGCTGCACAGGTTCAGGATGGTCAATTCCGGGCACCCCTGGCCTGCTCCAGGACATGCTGCTGCCACCAGAGAAAGCCCCTAGGCAGCGTCCCGGGTGCTGGTGGTGTCAGAATCGAGTTTGAGTCTGAGGAGTGACCTGGGGCTGGCTGGGCTAGGCAGCATCACGGGGTTCTGCAGCCCAACTGCACATCAGGCTGGTGACAGTCACGCAGCCTATTACTTCATGTGTCATCAGAGGATCGCTAGAACACAGCACTTCAAGTGTGCAGATTTAGTGAGCCATAGTCTAAAGACAAATAGAGCCACTGAATCCTAAATTTCAATCAATCATCTCCGTTACTCGTCTTATAGGTATTAATCCTTTGAAATTATGTGGGGTGGGAGTTAAAGCAAATAACTAATTATGTTAATGCTAAAACTAAGATTTTTCTGGCAAGGGAAAATCCTCCCAAGTCCCAGCACTTTGGGAGGCCGAGGTGGGCAGATGACCTGAGGTCAGGAGTTTGAGACCAGCCTGGCCAACATGGTGAAACGCCATCTCTACTAAAATTGAAAAATTAGCTGGGCATGGTGGCAGGTGCCTGTAATCCCAGCTATTGGGGAGGCTGAAGCAGGAGAATCGCTTGAAACAGGAGGCAGAGATTGCAGTGAGCCGAGATTGTGCCACTGCACTCCAGCCTGGGCAACAGGAACAAAACTCTATCTCAAAAAATAAAACAAGATTTTTCTGAGAAAAAGGTGTAAAACCGTATACTAAATTTGAAATAGAAATATAAGCGTGAACTCATTTGTTGTTCTTTTACCGTAGACACATTTTCTACCTCTGCCCCAGTAGCAGTAGACACATCAAGCACCTAGAAAGTGGTCTCTAATACATGAAAACCATGAATTCATAGTGGTGGTTTCAAAGCCAAAACCAAACAAACACATGTAATTGGTCACTCTTGGAGGTACCTAGGGCACTAACTCCTAACACTGGGAATGGACACTTGAAGGAAGATCAGTAATTATCCTGTCTTTTCTCTACAAATTGCAATTCAGGGAAACCTTGTTGATTAGGGAAAGTTCTTTACATAAGAATTCCTGCAAGTAAGTGAGTAAAGAATGACAGTTTAAGAATTGTCCCAGCCTGGCCAACATAGTGAAACCCCATCTCTAAAAATACAAAAAATTAGCCAGGCATGATGATGGGTGCCTGTAATCCCAGCTACTCAGGAGGCTGAGGCAGGAGAGTTGCTTGAACCTGGGAGACGGAGGTTGCAGTGAGCCGAGAGTGCGCCACTGCACTCCAGCCTGGGCAACAAGAGTGAGACTCTGTCTCAAAAAAAAAAAAAAAGAATTGTCAAATTGCTACCCCTAATGCCATGGTTCTCTAACCTGTGTAACAGGATCAGCTGGAGGGACGCTACCCCAGACCTTCCAATTCAGTCCTGGGGGGACCCTAGTCCAGACCTTCCGATTCGGTCCTGGGGGGGCCCTAGTCCAGACCTTCCAATTCAGTCCTGGGGGGACCCCACCCCAGACCTTCCGATTCAGTCCTGGGGAGACCCTACCCCAGATCTTCTGATTCAGTCCTGGGGGGACCCTCGTCCAGACCTTCCGATTCAGTCCTGGGGGGACCCCACCCCAGACCTTCCGATTCAGTCCTGGGGTACCCCACCCCAGACCTTCCGTTTTCAGTCCTGGAGGGACCCTACCCCAGATCTTCCGATTCAGTCCTGGTTCGGTCTGAGAATTTGCATTTCTAACATGTCCAGGGAACACAGTTTGAAAACCTCCACGGCTAACATGTAATGGGATGACATGGTCCAATAAATGAAGGAAAAATAACAGGTGGCAACCTCAGGCAGCTTCATCCCAACCAGTAAGAAAGTAAATCCTTTTGTAAACTAAGAGGAAGTATTAATATGGGCGTTTGAGCAAACATTTAAGTGTTAGGACAAAGAATTAAAAACTAGCACAGGCACCCCTGAAGCATGATAGGATGGCAACAGAAGGGCTGATTTAGTTTCCAAGAAATAACTGACAGGCAGTGTTGTGCGTGTGTCTACTACTTAGGAACCCAAAACAAACCTTCAGACCGTTTTCATGAGTACTGAGACCAAGAAAACCACTGGGCAGTGGGTGGTCTGGAAATGTAAATGTTGATGGTACTCCAGTAATGAGTCATGGAACAATGTTTCATATTGAAAATGTTTTTGTAAATGTGGGTTTCAGGGTTTCAAAGTGAACCCATATGTGTTAGGAGAAAGGACACACCAAAGAAGTAAAATAATTGGGTCAATATAAAAAGTAGAATATTGCCCAGAGAGAAGATGTGGATAATTCCTAATACGGATCAAAGGCACCAAAAAGGTGAGCTGTGAGTAAGATATTCAGACCTGCACCATCCCAAGCAGTAGCCACAGTGGCAAGTAGCCTCCTCACTGGACAGTGCAGCTACGGAATGATGCCATCACCGGAAAGTTCCATCAGCCAGCACCGATGCAGACCTTTGCAACTGCCCCTCACGCTGGACAGCACCTGTTTGATAGATTGTCCACTACGCAGTGAAAAGCCTGGGTGAAAAGCGGTATTTGGTAGAAGAGCAAAAAGGGGAAAAAAATTAAAAGTAGTAGGTCATTGTCCGCCAAACTGAATTCTGGCAGAAGAATGTTGGAAGCAAGATGGGAGCCACAGGAGAAAGTATCCTTGTCCCAAGACAGGAGGGGGTGCCAGGCATGGTTGGCTCTGTGCCTGGAATTCTATGGCCGGAATCTGGAAAAAGGAAAAGTGACTGGAAAAGGAAAGATTCTGTGTGCTTATGTCAAGATGCAGCCGTCCGTGATCCTGAGAAAATAAGTGAACAAAGTGGCTTTGGAGGGACGCTGTTGGATACACAAACAGATACAATGTGCACTTGCTATGCTTGTTCACACAAAGGACAGGATGGTCATCTGTTCATTGAACAACTACCTGTCGAGGGCCTATATGTGCCAAAGACATCAGATGAACAAGAGGGTGCACTGTGGAAAGCCTCAGGAACACAAGCGCCCAGAAACATTTAGAAAAATTCTAAGGAAAACAGAAAAGGCATTTTCAGATTAGCTCATAGAAATGAGACCAAAGGAAAGACTGGCCCAGTATTTGGATACATTATGTGATAAACCTTAACACAGGGAGGAAAGTGTTATCTTTCAATTAATTTCTCAACTTCTGGAGACCTTAGAACAGACCTGGCTAGGAGGAAATTGAATCCGAGGCAGGTGAGGACATAGTGGTGCCTCGATGCTTCCAGTGATTGCGTCAGCAGAACCAGGGGTGGGAGATGATCTCTCTTTTTGTTGGCAGATGGTGGTGTCTGCTGTAGCTTTGTCCCCTGGTGACGGGACTCAGGCAGTAACCCCCATCATTGGCAATACCCCCACCTCTGAGAATGTGGAGAGGACTTGTGAAGACAATGTTGTCCCAAGCAGCACAGCCCAGGTGCTGACAGGATTCAGAGTTAGAGCTTTCTTAGAGGTCAGGGTTGCGGAAGAGGCAGGGACTGCAGCTGCATAGTTTGTATATGTATCAGGCTAGTATCTTTTGTTCTAGACTCATCCATTTGTACATTCATATGAGTATGCATGCATGGTGTTTTTTCTTTTTCTTTTTCTTTTTTTTTTTTTTTTTGAGATGGAGTCTTGCTGTGTCACCCAGGCTGGAGTGCAGTGGCATAATCTTGCTTGACTGCAAGCTCCGCATTCCGGGTTCAAGAGATTCTCCTGCCTCAGCCTTCCGAGTAGCTGGGATTACAGGTGCCTGCCACCACACTTGGCTAATTTTTGTATTTTTAGTAGAGATGGGGGTTTCACCATGTTGGCCAGGCTGGTGTCGAACTCCTGACCTCAGTGATCCACCTGCCTTGGCCTCCCAAAGTGCTGGGATTACAGGCATTAGCCACTGCGCCCAGCCGTATGTCTCCATCTTTTTATTTCTTGCAATGTGTTGTTAAAGAAGTCAGGTGGTATGTGTACACAAGTAACGTATACTTGTTGAATATTTCTTATTTATCATACCCTGTCTCGTTCCAAAAGGATTTTACATGACTTATAATTTTAATATAATCCGGGGGAGATGGGCAGATTCAGCTCTGGGAGGCCAGCAGAATGGCTTTTAGGTCCTCCTTGGATTCAGAAAATACTTCTTGAAAGATATTTGAGGTAAATCTTACAGGATTAGAGGTTAGCCAGATGAAAAGAAATCAAGAGAGGAGAGAGGAGCCCCCACAAAGGACTGACCCAGGGCAATAACGGGGAAAGAACTTGGAGGTACAGAGGCAGACCTTGGTGTTTCCCAGGGTGTGGGACGTTGGGGGTAGTAAGGCTGGAGTGGGTAGAGGAAAGGGCTAGGGTGACACCACGGGGTATTAGGTGGAACTGAGGGAAACAGAAATAGGAGCAGAGAAAAGGGAATGAGAACGGGAAAGAGGGAGGTGGGAAATAGAAGAGGGAGTTTCCAAACAGCAACAACAACAGAAACAAGTGTTTTGGGTTGTGGAGCGTTTGCCCTGCAGAGAGCTGGGTCTGCCCTTGTCCCTTTTGGGGATTATGAATCAGTGCGTGGAGCCGCGCGGCCACATCCACCATTCACTTGCACTTGAGTGACAGCCAAGCTACAGTCATGAATACGTTTCTTTCTTTTTACAGAAGAACAGTAAATTGACTTTATTCCTTATAAAGGTGATACTGGAGAATGTGACATAGATTTGCTGGCACATGGGTTTCCTATGAGCAAACCCCAGAATTGGACACACGTATCTGGTGCTGCATTGGAATCATCCCAAAAAACCAAGGCTTGCATTGCATATCTATCTGCTGTCTGCTGAAGGAGCCCTGTCTGTGTGCCCAAGGAAGTGACATCCTTGCCAAGGGCTGTCCCTGTCGCAGGAGATGAAGGAGCCCTGTCTATGTGCTCAAGGACAGTGGCTTCCTTGCCAAGGGCTGTCCCTGTTGCAGGAGATGAAGGAGCCCTGTCTATGTGCTCAAGGACAGTGGCTTCCTTGCCAAGGGCTGTCCCTGTTGCAGGAGATGAAGGAGCCCTGTCTATGTGCTCAAGGGCAGTGGCTTCCTTGCCAAGGGCTGTCCCTGTTGCAGGAGATGAAGGAGCCCTGTCTATGTGCTCAAGGACAGTGGCTTCCTTGCCAAGGGCTGTATCTGTTGCAGGAGATGAAGGAGCCCTGTGTGCCTGAGGACAGTGGCTTCCTTGCCAAGGGCTGTCCCTGTAGCAGGGGAAAGCCTTTCAGGACCCTTTCTTAGAGAAATAGGTCTCAAAGTGAATGAATATACCTCCTCACATACTCACCAAGCAGCCTGCAGAGGATACAGCTTTCCATGTGGCTCAGGGAACAGTTGATATCAACAGTCTCTCAATTCCTTTATTATTATTATTATTATACTTTAAGTTCTGGGATACATGTGCAGAACGTGCAGCGTTGTTACATAGGTATATATGTGCCATGGTGGTTTGCTGCACCCATCAACCTGTCATCTACATTGGGTATTTCTCCTAATGCTATCCCTCCCCTTGCCCCCAACCTCCCAACAGGCACCGGTGTGTGATGTTCCCCTCCCTGTGTCCATATGTTCTCATTGTTCAACTTCCACTTATGAGTGAGAACATGCAGTGTTTGGTTTTCTGTTCCTGTGTTAGTTTGCTGAGAATGATGGTTTCCAGTGTCATCCATGATCCTGCAAAGGACATGAACTCATCCTTTTTTATGGCTGCATAGTATTCCATGGTGTCTATGTGCCACATTTTCTTTAACCAGTCTGTCATTGATGGGCATTTGGGTTGGTTCCAAGTCTTTGCTATTGTGAATAGTGCCGCAATAAACATACATGTGCTCGGGGCTGGGCGCGGTGGCTCAAACCTGTAATCCCAGCACTTTGGGAGGCTGAGGCGGGTGGATCACGAGGTCAGGAGATCAAGACCATTCTGGCCAACATGGTGAAACCCCTTCTCTAGTAAAATGCAAAAAATTAGCTGGGCGTGGTGGTGTGTGCCTGTAGTTCCAGCTACTCAGGAGGCTGAGGCAAGAGAATCGCTTGAACCCGGGAGGTGGAGGTTGCAGTGAGCCGAGACCGTGCCACTGCACTCCAGCCTGGCAACAGAGCAAGACTCCGTCTCAAAAATAATAAATAAACATACGTGTGCATGTGTCTTTACAGTAGAATGATTTATAATCCTTTGGGTATATACCCAGTAATGGGATGGCTGGGTCAAATGGTATTTCTAGTTCTAGATCCTTGAGGAATCGCCACACTGTCTTCCACAATGGTTGAACTAATTTGCACTCCCACCAACAGTGTAAAACTATTCCTATTTCTCTACATCCTCTCCAGCATCTGTTGTTTCCTGACTTTTTAATGATCACCATTCTAACTGGTGTGAGATGATATCTCATTGTGGTTTTGATTTGCATTTCTCTAATGATCAGTGACGATGAGTTTTTTTCATGTTTGTTGGCTGCATAAATGTCTTGAGAAGTGTCTGTTCATATCCTTTGCACACTTTCTGATGGGGTTGTTTGTTCTTGTAAATTTACTTAAGTTCCTTGTAAATTCTGGATATTAGCCCTTTGTCGGATGGATAGATTGCAAAAATTTTCTTCCATTCTGTAGGTTGCCTGTTCACTCTGCCTGGTCATATGCAGAAAACCGAAACTAGACCCCTTGCTGACACTTATACAAAAATTAACTCAAGATGCATTAAAGATTTAAACGTGAGACCTAAAACCAGAAAAATCCTAGAAGAAAACCTAGGCAACACCATTGAGGACGTAAGCATGGGCAAAGACTTCATGACTAAAACACCAAAAGAAATGGCAACAAAAGCCAAAATTGACAAAAGGTATCTAATGAAACTAGAGAGCTTCTGCACAGCATGACTGTATTTCAGTGCACGTTTACCACCGAGCTCTTAACGCTCCACCACTGTCCTGTGTCATTAGGATCCCAGCTCTGCAGCCATTCCTCTAGTTGGGCCTGGGTCGGCTCTGGGATGCCGCGGGGGGGCCGGTCGGCGGCGGAGGGGCCAGTGGGGACCCGGGGCAGGGGCGGAGACCCCTCCCACTGCACATCCCACTGCCTGGGTATCTGGCCCCCAACCGGCCTGCCCGCTGCTCCCACCTCCCATGGTGGGTCGGGGGCTGAGGGCTGGGGACTGGGGCAGGGTACCCCAAATATCTCTCGGTGGCGATCGCTCAGTCCGTGCAGTCCATCCAGCTCCTGCATTGTCCGTCCTACCAATAACCTCTCACTTGCAATTCTCAGCCCCTTCCTGCATTGTCTCCCTGTGAGACCTACTAGAACCCCCGCCTTTCACACTGCTGACCTGCTGGGGGAAAATGCACAGAGGCAGAGACGAGGCCACGCGGGAGTCCTGATCTCTAACCCCAGCCGGTCTCAGGCCTTGCCGAGGCAACGCTGCTTCCCCAGACACTCTCCCTTTCCCATTCTTTTTTTTTTTTTTTTTTGAGTTGGAGTCTCGCTTTGCCACCCAGTCTGGAGTGCAGCGGCGCGATCTCAGCTCACTGCACCCTCCACCTCCTGGGTTCAAGCGATTCTCCTGCCTCAGCCTCCCAAGTAGCTGGGATTACAGGCACACACCACCATGCCTGGCTAATTTTTGTATTTTTAGTAGAGATGGGGTTACACCATGTTGGCCAGGCTGGTCTCAAATGCCCGACTTCAGGTGATCCACCCGCCTCGAGCTCCCAAAGTGCTGGGATTACAGGCGTGAGCCATCGCGCCTGCCTTTACTTTCCCATTCTTAACGCCTCCCGTTTCAGACCTGTCCCCTTTTCCCCGCATTTCTGACTGTCACGGCACATCACAACCAGCAGACAGGGCTTCCCCTATTTCACAGGAGAAATAGAAGCCATCAGATGGGACCTCCTTCAAAGTCCTGCCACCAAACCTCAGCATGTACCTGGACCCACATGTATCCTCTTTTCCTTTGGGATTGAATTAGAGAGGTGCCGCTCGAAACCCGCTCCTGGGTGGGAGTCTTGGCTCTATCAGTTATGCCTCTATTCTGTATGTTTAACCTCGCCCTCGTAGGGGCATAAAACAGCATTTAAACAGGATCAAGCTTTCCATTTTAAAACTCCATACACTCCCTTAATTTCATCTCCTCCTCCACCTACTGCCCCATGTCTCTCCCTCTTCCTGGCTAAACGTCTCAAAAAAGTGGATACACTTTCTGTCAACTCCTAAACACTCCTCACGCTCATTTGGCCTCTGCTCCTCCCTTCCTCCTCCCACTTCATTGGAACTACTTCTGCCAAAGAGGATCCCTGAGTCAGCCTGACTGGTAACCCCAATGGACTCTACTCAATATGCAACATCCTTCACTTCTTAGCAGAGTTTGAAACAGCCTGACTCTCCTCTTCTGGCAACATTCTTTTCCTTGGTTTGGGGACGCTGTACTGTTCTGGTTTTGCCCCTCCCTCCGAGCATTCCTTGTGTTTGTCCTGGCCCATTTTCTCCTCTCATTCTACATCCTCTCCCCGGGGATTTTAGCTTCTCTCACGGCTCAGGTTACCATCTCCATAGTGATGACTATCAAATTCTGTACCTCATTTCCAGAGGCTCCTGACAGACTTGCTTGGTCAATATACTACTGGACATATTCATGAGACTGTCTCACACAGGCATCTCGAACCCAGTGTGTCCCACAATTCTCTTCCTATCCATGCCTGTTCCTCTTCCACTGCCTCATATGTCGGTGACTGTCCACCTTCTCTCTCTCTCCCCCTCTCCGTTTGGCTCATAGGAAAAGTGTCACCAAGGGCTGTAAGTGCAGATTTCTAATTATCCCCTAAATTTGAACATTTTTCCTCTCGAAAGTGTATGGCCATTACCCTATTACAGATCAACATCTTCAATCACTGGAATGATGGCAATAATCTAATTGGGTTCATTTTATCCTCTATCTAACAATGACAACTCATTGCCTACACAGCAGGTAGAAGGAGTTTGTTTTCAGAATTGCCCTCTGACCTATTTAAGACGCTCAGATATTCCCTGAGGCTCCTTGGCCTGGCCACAAAGGCCCTACACATTCTGGCTGCTTCCTCCTTTCCAGCATCCTCTCTCACGTCTCCTCTCCTCAGTTCCACCCTCAGGAGGCACCAGAATTCCTCACTTCTTTGACTACAAGGCACCGTCTTACTCCCAAGACCAGTGAATCCGAAGGTGGACCACCAGCTGAGGGACTAGATTCCAGACTGAATAGAACAACTTTCCCTGTCTCTCCACATAAAGTGTGTTTGTTTTTCCTCTTACAGGTTTCCTTAATGACAACAAAAAAGGGAGTAATCCTACCCACTGTAAGAGTCATGACTCTTGATTGCAGCTGACAGAAACTCATGACAGCCTGCTTTAGATGAAGGGGGAGAGAAGGACTGGAAGAATCTTGGAGTTGGGAATGTCACACGTAATTGAAGGAAGAACAAGAAAACTATAGTAAAGAACCCTGGGGTGGTGATGTAGTCATGGGCCAAGTGTCCTGGAACCCTGGGGTGGTGATGTAGTTGTGGGCCAAGTGTCCTGGAACCCTGGGGTGGTGATGTAGTCATGGGCCAAGTGTCCTGGAACCCTGGGGTGGTGATGTAGTTGTGGGCCAAGTGTCCTGGGTTTTGGGTGGAGAAAGAGTCCCCTAGATAAGTTATTAGGTGGGTGCAAAGGTAATTGCAGTTTTTCCCATTATTTTAATTGCGAAAACAGCAATTACCTTTGCACCAACCTGATGGAGTCCCCCTTGCCATGCTTCTCTCTGTGAAAAACCCCAAGCCGAAGTCAGCATAACATCCACAGGACTCTATGTTTGCAAAAGCCAGCTTAGCTATATTACATGTATAAGCACATTTTTTCAATAAGTCAGCCTTAGCTTACTGTAACTTTTTAACTTTATAAACTTAGTATTTTAACTTTTTAAACTTTTTTGTTGAAAACTAAGACACAAAAACACATGTTAGCCTAGATCCACACAGGGTCAGGGTCATCAGTATCACTGTCTTCCACCTCCACATTTTGTCTCTCTGGAAGGTCTTCAGGGGCAATAACACACATGGAGCTGTCATCGCCTGTGGTAACAATGCCTTCTACAGTACTTCCCAAAGGGCCTGCTAGTTCACTTAATTCTTTTATAGAGAGAAGGAGTACACTCTAAAACACTGATCAATAGTATATTATAGTAAATACATAAACCAGGAACACATTTATTATCATTATCACGTATTGTGTATTGTACAGAATGGTGTGTGCTGTGCTATCCAGGAACACATTTATTATCATTATCAAGTATTGTGTACTGTACAGAATGGTGTGCGCTGTGCTTTTATGCAAGTGGCAGCACAGTAGCTTTACACGAGCATCACTAGACACATGAGTAGCATTGCACTCGGCAACAGGAATTTTTTCAGGCCCATTATTATAATCTTATGGGACCGCATCCTATATGCAGTTTGTCATTGACCAAAATGTCCTTATGCGATGCATGACTATATTTGCAAAGGACTAGTATCTAGAATACATTTAAAAGTCTTAAAATAGTAACAAAACAAAGAATGCAATTAGAACATGAGCAAAAGATACAAAGCAACATTTCACTGGAGAAGATATACAGATTGCAAATAAGCACATGAAAAGATGTTTGATACCATTAGGGAAACGCTTCTTTAAACCAGGAGATATCACCACGT
This sequence comes from Homo sapiens, assembly GCF_000001405.40. Taxonomy (NCBI): domain Eukaryota; kingdom Metazoa; phylum Chordata; class Mammalia; order Primates; family Hominidae; genus Homo; species Homo sapiens. The sequence continues at coordinate 91,954 of NT_187649.1, read as the reverse complement.
GTTAGAATCAACAAAATAAGGCCAGGCATGGTGGCTCACACCTGTAATCCCAACACTTTGGGAGGCTGGGGCAGGCAGATCACATGAGATCAGGAATTCAAGACCAACCTGGCCAACATGGCAAAACCCTGTCTCTGCTGAAAACACAAAAATTAGCCAGGTGTGGTGGCACACGCCTGTAGTCCTAGCACCTTGGGAGGCTGAGGCAAGATAATTGCTTAAACCCAGGAGACGGAGGTTGCAGTAAGCTGAGATCATGCCACTGCGCTCCAGCCTGGGCGACAGAGCAAGATTATGTCTCAAAAAAAAAAAAAAAAAAAAGAATCACCAAAATAAAAAATAGTAACAATACTATTGTCAAGGATGCAAAGGAACTGTACCACTCAATCACTGCTGTGAGAATTTAAAGTGGTGCAGCCACTCTGGGAAACAGCTTGGCTGTTTTTTTTTATGACTGAATGTGCAACTACTATATGATGCAGTAATTTCATTTTTGCACATTTATCCCGGAGAAATGAAAACATATATTCACACAAAACCTGTATATGAATGCTAATAAAAGTCAATTGGCCAGGTGTGGTGGCTCATGCCTGTAATCCCAGCACTTTGGGAGGCTGAGGCAGTGGATCACCTGAGGTCAGGAGTTTGAGACCAGCCTGGCCAACGTGGTGAAAACTCGTCTCTACTAAAAATACAGCAATTAGCTGGGTGTAATAGTAGCCACCTGTAATCCCAGCTACTGGGGAGGCTGAAGCAGAAGAACCTCTTGAACCCGGGAGGCAGAGGTTGCAGTGAGCTGAGATCGTACCACTGCACTCCAGCCTGGGCGATAGAGTGAGACTCTGTCTCAAAAAATAAAATAAAATAAATAAAAAGATTAGATAATCTGCAAAGTTCCTGTGAGCGCTGTCATTTTGTCACTCTGGTTTTTCAGATTCTTCCCCTGGAGGCTGGAGTTTCCAGGATGTCAAAATTACCTCTGCTTGGGTGAGCTATTTCAAGCAGCTGGGATACCTGTGTCACTCCTGCTGTCTGCCAGTGACTGCCCAGGTGTCTGCTGGTTCCTCCCCAGGAGTAGGGAGGAACCAGGTGGGCTGGCTGGGATGGGTGGATATTTAAAGACCAGGCCTTGGACGCTGCAGCACTTCTATCTCTGCTTGATGCCTGCTGCCACGTGGCTGGTCCTCCTCCTCCTGCTGTGGCTGAGCCTTGGGGTGAAGACAGGTGAGGAGCTAGGCTGGCATCTGTGCTACAGGTCAAAGAGACCCCAGTCTCTGCTCTCTCATTCATTCAATCAATTAATCTGTTTTGTCTCTGGCATGACCCACCTCCTGTGACCCAGCATTCATTAATTCATTAATCAAATAATTCATGTATTCAGACACTTATTAAGTACCGACTATATGGTTGATGTGGCTTCTTTGTGTATCCAGTTTTATATCTGGATAAGATGTCTTTGGATGATCAGCTTGGGAGGGTCTAGTATCCAGAGGATGCTCCCTCGGATAGAGGCAGCGTGGGCACTGTGGGTGGCTGGGGTGGACGGGACAGGAGGGAAGGTAGGTGTGATAAACCCAGATCCAGATTAACAGGCAGACTCACTGGGCAATTTCCAGGCACCAGTCTACTGGGTTTATTCAAACATCCCTGGAAATACAACAGGGTGAATACAGTTGCATTTACTAGAACTTCTCTCTCTCTCTCCTCTCTCTCTCTTTTTTTTTTTTTCAGACAGAGTCTGCTCTGTCCCCCGCCAGGCTGGAGTGCAGTGGTACGATCTCGGCTCACTGCAACCTCCACCTTCTGGGTTCAAGCCATTCTCCTGCCTCAGCCTCCCGAGTAGCTGGGATTATAGGCATGCACCACCATGCCTGGCTAATTTTTGGCATTTTAAATAGAGACAGGGTTTCGCCATGTTAGCCAGGCTAGTCTTGAACTTCTGACTTCAGGTGATCTGCCCACCTCCGCCTCCCAAAGTGTTGGGATTACAGGTGTGAGCCACCGTGCCTGGCCCTAGAACTTCTCTTGGGAGAAAACTAGATGTCATTGGTAGGAACACAGTCAGCTGTTGCTTAATGATGGAGACACATTCTGAGAAATGCATCATCAGATGATTTCTTTGTTGTATGAATATCATAGAGTTCACACAACAATGAAATCGAGAGTTTACATAAACCTAGATGGTTTATATATATATTTATTTACATGTTTGTTTTCCACATGGAAAGCCACATGTCCCAGCACATGTCCCATTACTGAACATCAGTCATTTCCCCTGCTTGATCCTCAAGGCCAATATCGAGCACCATATATCGGGTTTCTGCATATGCCCTATTATAATCTTATGGGGCCACCGTCATATATATGGTCCATCATCGGTCTAAACATCGTGATGTGGCACAAGGCTGTACTTCTTGGCTGGGTGCGGTGGCTCACGCCTGTAATCCCAGCACTTTGAGAGGCCGAGACGGGTGGATCACTTGAGGTCAGGAGTTCAAGACCAGCCTGGGTAACATGGTGAAATACCATCGCTATTAAAATACAAAAATTAGCCAGGTGTGGTGGTGGGTGCCTGTAATCCCAGCTACTTGGGAGGCTGAGGCAGGAGAATCACTTGAACCTGGGAGACAGAGGTTGCAGTGACCCGAGATTGCGCCACTGCGCTCTAGCCTGGGTGACAGAGGGAGACTCCATCTCAGGAAAAAAAAAAAAAAAAAACCCAAAGCTATTTATTGTGGAAAAATTCAAACACATGCAAAAGTAAAGAGAATAGGATGATGAACCCAAGGTACCAGTTGGCCACCTTCAATATTATCAACATTATGCTCAAGCTCTTATCCCCCATATTTAAAAAATATAACCACAATACCTTATCAGAGCCAAAACAAATATGGTCGCACACCTGTAATCCCAACACTTTGAGAGACTGAGGCGGGCAGATCGCCTGAGGCCAGAAGTTCAAGACCAGCCTGGCCAACATGGTGAAACCCCTGTGTCTACTAAAAATACAAAAATTAGCTAGGCATGGTGGCGGGTACCTGTAATCCCAGCTACTCGGGAGGCTGAGGCAGGAGAATCACTTGAACCAGGGAGGTGGAGGTTGCAGTGAGCCGAGATTGCGCCACTGCACTCCAGCCTGGGCAACAGAGCAAGACTCTGTCTTTAAAAAAAAAATTAATTAATTAATTAATTTAAAAAACTACTTACTATCGTTTAATACCTATCAGTGTTCATATTTCCCCCACTTGTCAAAAATATCTTGTTATTCAGCAGCAAAGCAGAAGAGAAAAAGAAAAAATAAGGTCAGATGTGGTGGCTGATGCCTGTAGTCCCAGCACTTTGGGAGGCCAAGGTGGGAGGATCACTGGAGCTCAGGAGTTTGAGACCAGCCTGGGTACAATAGCGAGACTCAGTCTCTACAAAAAAAAAATTTGTTTAAAAATTAGCAAGGTGTGTTGATGTTCACCTATAGTCCCAGCTATTCAGAAGGCTGAAGTGAGAAAATTGCTTGAGCCCCAGAAGTTGCGGCTGCAGCGAGCTGTGACCATACCACTGCATTCCAGTCTGCTGCACCGAGTGAGACCATGTCTCAAAAAAAAAAAAAAAAAAAAAAAAAAAAGAAAGAAAGAAAAATGCCTTTTTACAGCTGGTTTATTCAAGTCAAGATCCAAAAAAGATATGCACACATGTTTAACTAGCATATTTCTTAAATGTCTTTAAATCTATACCTAGATCAGTGCCATTTTTTCATGTCATTTAGCTGTTGAACGAACCAGGTACTGTGTCCTGCGGCATATCCTACCTTCTGGGTTTGACTGATTGAATCTTTGTGGATGTCCCTCTGCCTCTGTCTTTCCTGAACTCTGGTAGTTGAGATCAGGACTGGAGATTTCTTAGGCAGGAAGAATCCATAGGTGGGTACTTCCTATCGCGCCTCGAAGGAGACACAAAGTGTCCAGCTGTCCCACTTTTACTGGTGTTAAACTTCATCCACCAGATAGTGCACCCATTATAAAATTCTGTCCACTAATGATTTGTGCTGAGATCCACTTCTCATTAGGGGCTGCCAAGTAGTGCTTTTCTATCATTCTTTCTGCACTTGTTAGCCGAAGGTTCTCTGTCGTGAAGATATTTCCCTTGTCAACTATTTGGCTTGGATGGAAAGGCTGGATCAATGTTTGATTCTTTATTTTTCATCTTCATAATAATGAGCTAGCTCCTCGGCACCCCGGGGGAAGTTGTCTTCAAATGCTGCCTTGAAGCATAGAATATTTAATTCTAATGGATATGGGAGGGAAGGGCCTTCCAAGCCGAGGGAAGAGCTTGAGCAAAGGCTCAGAGGCAGGAGAATGCAGGGTGTTTAGAGAACAGCAGAGCTCTGTAGCACGTGCAACAAGAGGCTTTTTGAGTGAGGACCCTGAGCACGATATGGTGGGAAAGCAGGGGAGAGGTCAGGATTGCTGGTTTGACTCCCAGCCATGGGCAAAAGGTTCTCCCCTTGTCTATACAATGAGGACATCTCTCTAGATCAGTGGCTTTCCAACGTTTCTGGCCCCAGTTCACTTTAATAAATACATTTTATACTCTGACCCAGTAAGTGCATCTGTGTGTATAAAAACCAACAGAAATTTCAAAAAGAACTCAGTTGACTTTTACATACAATGTATGTGGGTCTATTCTATTCTATTTCATTCAGTGTCATCCTGTTGAAATAAATGTTGGTTATGACCACTGAATTGAACTCAGTCTCACAGATTGTCGGCAACCTTAGTCTGGGTGGCTCCTGGGGCTCTATTTCCACTCCAGCCCTTTCTGGTTGATCCCTGGTCTTGGTGACAACCTGACGCAGCACCAGGCTCTGGAGAAGAGGGACAACATGAGAAGAGAAGCTGATCACTTGCAGGAGGCTCCTGAGCTGAACATGAGGCAAAAGCCAGGCCAAACTCAGAGGCTATGGCCCCAGCCAGGCCACCCTCACCTTCAGAGTCTTGACCCCCCAGACCACACTACCGGACACCTGCTGGCCCTGTTTCCACAACAGACTGGCTCAGCCACACCCAGGCCCACAGGGCTCAGAGGCCTGCTCCCTGTTGATCGTGTCAACTTTGAAAGGCCTTCAAGTTTATCCCTAAACAAAGCCCTCCAGTTTAGCCCTAAAGAGCCAGGTGTTAACCTAACAGGAAGCAATTTGGAAGGTCAAAGTCAAGTAGACGGAGAAGAGTGTTGAGAGTCCTGGGGTGACAACACCTGGGTCCCCTGCTCACCTGAGCCACAGACTCGCCAGGTAACTGGGCCAGCGTCCCTCCTGCCCACGCCTTGCTTGCCGCACTCTTAAAGAAGATGCATCCCCTTCTCTTGGAGGGAATGACAATGACCAGATCACAACTGAGCTGAGCAATTTGGGGAAATTTGGGCAGGGGGTAGAGTTGGCAGAACTGGTTTGTAAACAGGGCTCTGGAAGACCTTCCTCTAACTGTGGGGAGTGGGGGAGGGGTTTCTCTCCCTCTTAGGCACTCTCTTCTCTGCTGTTTTCTCTATTTCTCTCTTCGCTGTCACTCCCATTACCGTCCTCATCTTATCTCCCCCTTTTCTCTCCTTCTCTCTCTCTCTGTTTAATAACAGCTTTATTGAGAGATAATTTACAGGATGTGAGATTTACCCTTTTGTACAATTCACCATGTGTACATTTCAGTGTTGTTCAGTGTATTCACAGGGTTGCAGAACCATCACTGCTGTCTTATTTTATTTTTTTGGCACTTTTTGGTAGAGACAGGGTTTTGCCACGTTGGCCAGGCTAGTCTCAAACTCCTGACCTCAAATGATCTGCCCGCCTCGGCCTCCCAAAGTGCTGGGATTACAGGTGTGAGCCACTGCGCCTGGCCACCTCTGTCTAATTTCAGAACATGTTTGTTATGCCCCAAATAAACTCTGACCCATCAGCAGTCACTGCCTGGTCCACACATCTCACCAGCCCCTGGCAACCACTAATATACTTTCTGTCTTGATGGATTTGTCTATTCTAAACATTTCATATAAATGGAATCATACAATACACGGCCTTTTGTGAGTGGCTTCTTTCACTTAGCATGTTTTCAAGTTTCATTGTTGTTGTGGCATGCATCTGTACTTCATTCCTTTTTATGGCTGAGTAATATCCCATTATATGGATATACCAGATTTAGTTTTAGCCATTCATCAGTTGAAGGGCATTTGAATTGTTTCTACTATTTGGCTATTATGAATAACACTGCTATGAATATTCATTGATAGGTTTTTGTGTGAACATGTGTTTTTAATTCTCCTAACTACAGGCTCAGAAGTAGGGTTTCTGGGTCATATGGCAACTCTATGTTTACATTCTGAGAAACTGTCAAATTGTTTTTCTTTTTTTTCTTTTTTTTTTTTATTCTTTTCTGCTGCCACCTCATCTCCCCAAATTGATTTTCAAAGTGGCTGCACCATTTTGCAATTCCACCAGCAGTGTATGAGGGTTCCAATTTCTCCACACCCTCAGCAACACTTCAACACTTGCTTTTTTTTTTTTTTTTTGAGATGGGGTCTCGCTCTGTCGCCAGGCTGGAGTGCAGTGGCGTGATCTCAGCTCACTGCGACCTCTGCCTCCTGGGTTCAAGAGATTCTCGTGCTTCAGCCTCCTGAGTAGCTGGGACTACAGGTGCATGCCACCACACCCAGCTAATTTTTGTATTTTTAGTAGAGACAGGGTTTCACTATGCTGGCCAGGATGGTCTCAAACTCCTGAACTCGTCATCCACCCATCTCAGTGTTCCCAAGTGCCGTGATTACAGGTGTGAGCCACCCCACCCAGCCAACACTTGCTGTTTTATTTTTTATCTTAGCTGTCCTACTGGATGTGGGGTGGTATCTCATTGTGGTTTGGATTTGCATTTCCTTATGATTAATGATGTTGAGTATCTTTCATGCTCACTGGCCACTTGTGTATCTTCTTTGGAGAAATGTCTATTTAAATCCTTTGTCCAGTTTTAAATTTGATTGACTTATTTTTATTTATTTATTTATTTTGGAGGCAGAGGCTTGCTCTGTTGCCCAGGCTGGAGTGCAGTTGTGCAATCTTGGCTCACTGCAACCTCCACCTCCTGGGTTCAAGCAATTCTCCTGCCTCAGCCTCCTGAGTAGCTGGGACTATAGGTGCATGCTACCAAGCCCAGCTAATTTTTGTGTTTTTAGTAGAGACAGGGGTTTCACCATGTTGGCCAGGCTGGTGTTGAACTCCTGGCCTCAAGTGATCTGCCTGCCTTGGTCTCCCAAAGTGCTGGGATTACAGGCATGAGCCACCGCACCCAGCCAGTTTCAGCTCTTACATTTAGGTCTATGGTCCATTTTGAGTTAATATTTGTATATGGTTTGAGGTAGGAGTCCAAATGCATTCTTTTGCATGTGCTTATCCAGTTGTCTAAGCACCATTTGTTAAATCTATCTTTTCTTTTTCTTTTTTTTTTTTTTTTTTTTTGATACAGGGTCTTGCTCTGTCACCCAGGCTGAAGTGCGCTGGTGTGATCATGGCTCACTTCAGCTTCCTGCTTCTGGGCTCAAGTGATCTCCTGTCTCAGCCTCCTGGGTAGCTGGGACTACAGGCGTGCACCACCATACCCGGCTAATTTTAATCTTTTTTTTTTTTTTTAATGTTCCTTTTTCTCCAGGCAGCTGCTCCCAACCCCAGAACCTTTGCTGTCTTGGGACGGATCACCACTGCAAGAGGGGAAGTTGCTACTGTGATGAATTCTGCCATGTGGCACCAGACTGCCACCCAGACCACAGTGTCCTCTGCAACCCTGGTAACTCACATACAGGCCCGATTCCACCGACAGCAAAGCTGGATGCTATGGCTGGCAGAGGCAAACCCTTTGCCTGCACTTCAGGCCAAAGCCGGGATGTGGCCTAGATGGTTCCTAAGGTCCCTGACAATCCTGAGATCTTGCATCTTGTCTATTTCAGGTCAAAGGTGCCTACATGCTCCTTCTAGCTTTGTTTCCCTGATGTTCCTTGCCACCTGCTACTCCTCTCTGAGCTACTTTTCCAGGTTCCACAGGGAGAGGTTCAGCTGTCCGTGGTAGACATGAGGGTAGAGAGTGAGGTGGTTGGGTTCCACTTACCTTTCTATCATCTTGCAGTATGGATGTCTCTTGACTGGTACCGTGTAGACTTTTGAGGGCACACAGGAGTCTGCAGAGAGATACTGGGGACATTGAGCAGCAGCAGTGGGGTTGGGAGGCAGAAATGAGGACAGGAACATTTACCTTGTGTTTCTCTCAGCTTCTCAGATGACCAAGATGGTGCTGCAGATGGTGCTGAGGATGGAGAACCCACCAAGCCCCGCTAGGAGCCACCTAGACTGGATGCAGAGCATGGTGAGCTCCCTGCAGGTTCTCTAAGAAGGGGTGGATGGCAGCCTGCTCCTTGCCTTTGTGCCCTCCAGGCCCCAAAGTCAGGGAACCAAAAGAAGAAAGGGGCCGTAGCTAGGGCAGAGCTCCACTGCAATGATTGTTTTAGGGGTAGGAGCCAGGATTGCCGTCTGTGGACACTGAAATTTGAATCTCATATACTTTTGTGACAAAACATTCTTCCTCTTTTGTTCTTCTCCTACCATCTAAAAATGTAGAAAACATTCTTAGCCTATGAGTTGCACAAAAACAGGCAGTGGCCAGATTTGGCCCATAGACCATAGTTTGCTGACTTCTGCCCTAAATCATCCTCCATTTCTTTCCTTCTGTGTCCTTGTTACTGACAAAGCCACTTTCCCTAAAATGGGGTCTTTCCCTGTTTGGTGCCATGAAGCCAATATGCAAAACCGAAAGTGAGCCTCAAGCAGTGCAGGCTTTATTTGGTGGCCATGGAATTGAGAAGTGAGAGCTTGGCTCACAAATCAACTTTTCTGCTCGTGAGACCCAGGAAGTCACAGATACAGGGCATCTTTAGTGAAGGGGCTGAGCATTAAAAGCAAGGGGAGGAGTGGCCAGGTGCAATGGCTCACTCCCATAAACCCAGAACTTTGGGAGGCCAAAATGAGAGGATTGCTGAGACCAGGAGTTCGAGACCATCCTGGTCAACATAGTGATACACCCCCATCTCTACAAAAATAAAAATGAAAAAAGCAAGGGGAGGAATCATGTGTTTTCTGGGTCTGGGTGGAGAAATTTTCAAAACCAGAGTGCCACCTTCCTATTTGTTTTTTTATGTTATTTTTTCCCATCATTGTCATGTTGGTTGTTGACTGTTACGGTGTTAGTGGGACTGTCATTTAACATGGAAATTAGATTATAATGAAGTTAGAGGTCAAATGAGCTGCCATCTTGGATTCCATCAGTCTTAGCTGGTTTGATCACCAGGGAGAAGTTTGGACCTCAGGCATCCTGCTTCCTAAAGATAAACAGTGTTAAGGCAGGGTAGATATTCACGGAGGTCATGTGGGTATTGCACTGGATGACATCTTGGCTTCAGCCCTGATCTGTTCAGAGCCCTCAGCACGGTACTGGAGGAGAGGCCTTGGGCCGCATCGTGGCATATTGTGGCTTTGGGGAGAAAGAAAAGCAGATAGTGCAATGGAACGAGCGTGGACTTGAGAGTCAGACTTGCCTTCAACTCCTAGCTCTACCACTTACCACCTAGGTGACCTCAAGCCACTTTCTCAGCCTTTCTGAGACTCTGTATCCTCATGTGTATCCTAGAGTTTGTCTGATAGGGCTATAGTGAGAATTAATTGAATTAAGTGTAGTGAGAATTAAGCCAGGTCTGGAGAGGCCTGGCTACTGGTGAGTGAGGTAACTGAGATCAGGTATGGAGAGGACTGGCTCCTGATGAGTGAGTTAATTGAGATGAGGTATGGAGGGACCTGTCTCCTGGTGACTGAGTTAATTGAAATGAGGTGTGGAGGGACCTGGCTCCTGGTGAGTGAGTTAATTGAGATCCATTATGGAGGGACCTGGCTCCTGGCGAGTGAGTTAATTGAGACCCGGTGTGGAGGGACTTGGCTCCTGGTGAGTGAGTGAATTGAGATGAGGTATGGAGGGACCTGTCTCCTGGTGAGTGAGTGAATTGAGATGAGGTATGGAGGGACCTGGCTCCTGGTGAGTGAGTGAATTGAGATCAGGTTTGGAGGGACCTGGCTCCTGGTGAGTGAGTTAATTGAGATGAGGTATGGAGGGACCTGGCTCCTGGTGAGTGAGTTAATTGAGATGAGGTGTGGAGGGACCTGGCTCCTGGTGAGTGAGTTAATTGAGATCAGGTATGGAGGGACCTGGCTCCTGGTGAGTCTCCTGGAGGCAGCTGCTATCTGGGAACACAGGCACAGGTGGGAACAGACCTTCACTTCCTGCTCACTTAGGTTCAGCGAGTTCTCCAAACCAGCCTCCCAGGAATGCCATTCACCATGGCTGTGAGGAGAATAAAGAAGAGAGCCTGACTCCTCTCCTGAGGCCCCTTCCCCACCCTGAGCCAGCAGGATCCACGGAGCAGAGGTCATCTGTCCCCAGCTTGGCCCACTGAGGCCAGCATGGCTGGGCCCAGGATGCTTGTCTCTCAGCTCCCATCCTGTGTACTTCCACATTGGTTTAACCAGAGGAAAACCGAAATCTACAATTGTCATAAACACATTTAAATGTGCGTAGAATCAGCCATACAAATTGTGAAACATACATTTGGCTCATGGTATTATTCACTGTTTTGTGGTGGTTAGAGTGACTATAGCAAACATTTCTTGAAAGTAGAAAATAAGAACCCAGCACCCCTTGAGCTAAGTAATGTGCCCTCTGTCCTCAATATTCCTTCCTGGGCTCCACATTACTGCCCTTAAGTCTGGAAATATTCTGGTCTGAGCCCCGTAGTCCAGGCCTCATGTTCAGGCTTTCTGTCCCCAGTGATGAGAGGAGAGACGGCAGACCTGTCTCCGGTGAGCTCAGATGGGCCTCCCGGAGTCTCCTGGGGTGCACAGGATTTCAAAGATCCAGGAGGCGCTGCCAGGGGCTGTGGAGTCTGATGAACCTCTCACCTTCCCTCCCACACCTGCCGTTTTCCTGTTTCTGTGGATGCTTTTGCTGTCCTTGGCTTCCTGGACTCCAGACCTCAGGGTCATCTTTTGCTTCTCTCTGCAAGGTGCCAAGTCTCTCTAGTTTTTTGTTTGTTTGTTTTGTTATTGAGACGGAGTCTCACTCTATTGCCCAGGCTGGAGTGCAGTGGTGCGATCTCAGCTCACTGCAACTTCCGACTCCCTGGTTCAAGCAAATTCTCCTGCCTCAGCCTCTGGAGTAGCTGGGATTACAGGCGCCCGCCACCACGCCTGGCTATTTTTTTTTTTTTTTTTAGTAGAGATAGGGTTTCACCATGTTGGCCAGGCTGGTCTCGATCTCCTGACCTCATGATCCACCCGCCTTGCCCTCCCAAAGTGCTGGGATTACAGGAGTGAGCCACTGTGCCCGGCCGTCTCTCTAGTTTTACTTTGCAATGTCGTTCATATCCATCCCCTTTCTAGTGCCACTGCTGAAGTCCTAAGTCACTGCCTCCTAACTGGTCCTCCTACCCTAACTCCTCCCAGACAGGCTTCCTGCCCTAACTCCTCTCTGACCAGTCCTCCTGCCCTGACTTCTCCCTGACCGGTCCTCCTGCCCTAACTCCTCCCTGACCGATACTGCTGCCCTAACTCCTCCCTGACCAGTCCTCCTGCCCTAACTCCTCCCTGACCAGTCCTCCTGCCCTAACTCCTCCCTGACCAGTCCTCCTACCCTAAGTCTCCTCCCTGACCAGTCCTCCTGCCCTAAGTCTCCTCCCTGACCAGTCCTCCTGCCCTAAGTCTCCTCCCTGACCAGTCCTCCTACCCTAAGTCTCCTCCCTGACCCGTCCTCCTGCCCTAAGTCTCCTCCCTGACCAGTCCTCCTGCCCTAAGTCTCCTCCCTGACCAGTCCTCCTGCCCTAAGTCTCCTCCCTGACCAGTCCTCCTGCCCTAAGTCTCCTCCCTGACCGGTCCTCCTACCCTAAGTCTCCTCCCTGACCCGTCCTCCAGCCCTAACTCCTCCCTGACCAGTCCTCCTGCCCTAAGTCTCCTCCCTGACTGGTCCTCCTGCCCTAAGTCTCCTCCCTGACTGGTCCTCCTGCCCTAACTCCTCCCTGACTGGCCTCCATCCAAGCAGAGCTTGAGTATTGCTGGTTCCCTGCTCAAACCCACCACTGGTTGCTGGTTCCCTGCTCAAACCCACCACTGGCACTGGCTTCCCATCACATACAGAATAAAGGCTAAATGTCTACGCTTGGCACAGAAAGTCATCAACAGGCCCCAGAGCACGTTTCTGGTGTTATCTTCTGCTAATGCCCTGCCCTCACTCCTATGCTGCAGCTGAATGGAACGAGCCATTATCCCCTCAGGAACGCTGGCTTCTCAGTAAACGATTATAGCCCAGAAGCTCTGTCATCACAGAACCTAGCTATTGGCTAATGGGTCAGCTTTGGCTTCATTTCTCTGAATAATTTATTTCAAAACATAATCCCAAGGAACAAGGTTAGGAAAAGGGGAGGGTGACAGGGACAGAGGGAGAGCCTGTGCAAAGACGTGTTATCCAGTTGGCCCCTGCTGTGGCTGGCTGGTTGCTCAATCCTGTAAGATCTTCTAAGAAGCTTTATGAGATGTAGTGAGAACCATCTGTCCTGGGGATGAGTCTGTCTGTCGGCTTCCATTCCTCATGGGTTATGAGTTGCTCCACAGGATTCTGGATGTATACAGATGCTCTTCATCTTAGGAAGGGGTTACGTCCCAATAAACACGTGGTAAGTCAAAAATACTGTAAGTCAGAAACACATTTAATACCCTGATAAGCCCATCATAAAGTCAAACAATTTTAAATCCAATCATTGTAAGCCAGGACCATCTGTATACCCAAGACATATACAAGGATGTTCATAGCAGCTTTATTCAAAATAGTGAAAAACAAAACAATCCAAATGCACAGCAATTGGAAAACAGACAAATAAATTGTGGTATATTTATACAGTGGAATACTATGCAACAACAAAAAAGGATGAAGCATAATACTACACACAGCGTGAGTGAGTCTCACAGACACAGTGTTAACAGAGAGAATCCAGACACAAAAGAGCCTATCTATGCATGATTCCATTTATATGAAGTTCAAAGACATGCAGAGCTAATCTATGGTGATAGAGATAAGAATGGTGGTTACACTGAAATGGGAGGATCGCTCAAACCCAGGAGGCGGAGGCTGCAGTGAACCATGATGGAGCTGCACTCCAGCTTTGGAGACAGAGCGAGACCCTGTCTCTAAAAAAAAAAAAAAAATAAAAAATAAAAAATAAAAAAAAATGATTGTTCCATTCTGTGGTGGCAAGTGGGGGCTTGACTGGAAGGGAACACAAGGGCACCTGTTGAGGTGCTGAGCACGTTCTGTATCTTGACCTGAGTGTCGGATACATCCTGGGGATACATACGTACATAAAAATTCATCAGGGTATACGCTACTTAAGCTGGGCGTAGTTTACAGTATGTAGGTTACAACATAAAAAAGAAGTGAATGAACCAAAGAATACTGGGCTCCCTGGCGTTTCCTCTTCTGCAACCCAAGGAAATAAGCCTCGGTGTGGAGAGGGCCTGTCCTCAGGGCCTGGCAAATGTAGGCGATTCTTACCACGTCTCCTTCGGTAAGCCCACCTGGCAAGTTCTCATCCACATAATCTGTGCATGCTCAACATTTGAAACCAGTGGGGACCCATTTGGACCCCAAGAGTTGGTATTAGAGATCATTTTAAAGTGAAAACTGGCCAGGCACGATGGCTTACGCCTGTAATCCCAGCACTTTGGGAAGCTGAGGTGGGCGGATCACATGAGGTCAGGAGTTCGAGACCAACTTGGCCAACATGGTGAAACCCTGTTGACTCAGGATGACTCAGATTAGAGCAGGTGACTGGGGGTGACTCAGGATGGAGCAGGTGATAGAGGCTAGGAGGGGGTTGTTTACTGAAACTAGGGGCAAGGAGATGAAGAAAACGAGGAAGTTAAACTTTAAAATGAAGAGCTGAACATACTGATACATTGATTCTTTGGAGAGGATCTCAGAACTCATTGTACTTAACAATTTACAGGCTAAAACCTTTGAAGAAGAATTTATTATATCCTACAAACCTGGGAGGCAGAGGTTGCAGTGAGCCAAGATTGGGCCATCGCACTCCAGCCTGGGCAATAAGAATGAAACTCTGTCTCAAAAAAAACAAAAGTTGGCCAGGGCTGGGCGTGGTGGCTCACACCTGTAATCCCAGCACTTTGGGGGGCTAAAGCAGGTGGATCACCTGAGGTCAGAAGTACGAGACCATCATGGCTAATATGGTGAAACCCCATCTCTACTAAAAATACGAAAAAAGAAAAAAAAAATTAGCCAAGCACGGTGGTGCACACCTGTTATCCCAGCTGCTTAGGAAGCTGAGGCAGGAGAATTGCCTGATCCCAGAGGCAGAGGTTGCAGTGAACTGGGATTGTGCCACTGCACTCCAGCCCAGGCGACAGAGCAAGATTCTGTCTCAAAAATAAATACATAAATAAAGTTTTAGAGCAGGAATGAAAGGAAGTAAAGTACACTTGGAAGAGCTGTGTTGGCAACTGGAGAGATCCGAGTGCCTCATCTGACCCTTGACTTGGGATTAATACATTGGCATGAGATGTGAGCAGTGACTCAAAGTTGCTCAGAAAAAAATCTTCCCCCGCTATTTAGTACTGCAGCTGGCACCTGCCCTCCCCACACACTGCAGCTGGCACCTGCCCTCCCCACGCACTGCAGCTGGCACCTGCCCTCCCCACACCAGTATTTGGTACTGCAGCTGGCACCTGCCCTCCCCTCTGCTATTTAGTACTGCAGCTGGCACCTGCCCTCCGCACAGCAGTATTTAGTACTGCAGCTGGCACCTGCCCTCCCCACACCAGTATTTAGTACTGCAGTTGGTACCTGCCCTCCCCTCTGCTATTTAGTACTGCAGCTGGCACCTGCCCTCCCCACGTCAGTGTTCAGGATTCTTTCTCCCTGTTTTTCTTTTTTTTCCATAGTTTTCACCTTTCTATAATTCACTTATTTGTTATGTTTATTGTTTTGTGAAAGGAAAATAAATCTTGGGCCCCCAAAGTCACTAAGCTAAAGGGGAAAGTCAAGCCGGGAATGGCTTAGGGCCGACCTGCCCCCCATTCTATTCAAAATCACCCCCTGCTCACTGAGATAGATGCATATCTGATTGCCTTCTTTGGAAAGGCCCATCAGAAACTCAAAAGAATGCGACCTTTGTCTCTCACCCACCTGTGACCTGGAAGCTTTCTCCTGGCTGCGAGTTGTCCCACGTTTGCTTGGCGTTGCCCGGCCTTTTCCAGACTGAACCAATGTTCATCTTACATGTGTTGATTGATGTCTCATGTCTCCCTAAAACGTATGACCACCTTGGCACATGTCGTCAGGACATCCTGAGGCTGTGTCACGGGTGTGCATCTTCAACCTTGGAACAATAAACTTTCTAAATTAACTGAGACCTGTCTCAGATTTGGGGGGTTCACATTTTGGTAACCATGGAGGGATTCTGAGTTGAGGTGCCCCTGACCTTTGACAGATCTATTGGTGCTTGGTAGCAGCATGAGCTAACCTTATGGCTCAAACCAACAGGACAATTTGCTGAGGTCTGGGAGCACCCCCTCCAGAGAGTCCCTGATCTCTCAAAACTTGGTCGTGATCTAAAGTTTATTTGATGTACAACTCCCCCTCCCCTTCTTTTGGAGTTTTATTTGCTTCCAAGAAGGAAGGCAAGATTTCCTGGGTCCGTGATGATGGAAGGCTGACAACTCTTTTATGGAGTTTGAGCTTGCTCCCAGCAGGGAAGACAAGTTCGAGTTTTTTTCCTGCTTCAAGGATGGTAGAGAGCAGTCTTCAGCCTGAGACCCATCCCTAGGTAAGTAGCTGAACTGAGGTTTTGTCTTGGCTGAAGGTTAACAACCAGCTGGTCTGAATTTCTTCTTCCCATTAGAGCAGTCTGTGTTCATATCATTTGACTTCTGTTGTTGTTGTTTTTTCTGGTCTTTCTCTCATCAGATTTGACCAACTCTACCTGACTTGGTCAAATCCAAGTGAGAATTCCAAATTATGGGTAACAAAGCCTCTCTAATTTGGCTAAAATTCCTTGCAGCTGCAAAAGAGGAAAAAACTAAACGAAAAAAACCAACAAATCACGTGCTTGGTTTCTGTGTTTGCTTTCTGTCTTAAAAAACAAACAAACAAAAACAACAAATGCTCTTTCACTTACTTTTCTTCCTCCCTATACCTCCTCCTGCCTTTGCCATCTGCGGGACCAAAAAAATCTAGAGAAGGCTTCCAATGACTCGAGCCCCTTTAAAGGATCCGGAACAAAGGGGCCACTCACCCCTTCCAGGGTGCTCTGTTTTCTTTGTGGAGTTTCAAGAGTGATGGGCGGATTCTTCTTAGGTCTAAAGCTCTGCTGTCTTCCTGTACGGCATGACCTGACCTCTTTGGCTTTGGGGGAACCAGAGATGACCCTGCACTGTGAGAGGATTTGACCTTGGCGTGTGTAATGGCAGACGAGAACTACAAAGAAGGGGTGGCTGAGCACAGTTTACAGGGAATGGTCTTGGCTGTTTTTTTTTTTTTTTTTTCTCTTCTAGGAAGCTGTGATTTAAGGATCCTAATTCTAGTTCAGAGATGCATCCTAAAGGGTCTTCTCTATTGCTTTTTCTCCCAAAATGAATCTCAGTTTGGGTTGTCTATGTATTTGCATGAGGAACTGAACTGTTGTTGTCATAGGTAAATGAGAGATTGAGTTTTCTCAGCTCCAAAGAGAAAGGGCGTTTGCTCCTCCCAGCCGAGTACTCCATAGGGTTCATGGCGCCTCTACTTGCCAGAGTTTACGTAAAGTGGAAGTAATATGGTCTTTCTGCACATTTACATTAAAAAAAAAAGGAGCCCTGAGGTTGACCTGCAAACTGTAGAGTTCCTGAGTCCTCTTTTTTCTCTAGTTTCTTCTCTGCCTGCTTTAAATTTGCTGTTATTTTCCTATTAAGATAAAAAACACTGTTTGGATCAGATAGTTTTTCTGTTTGTAAACTGGTGAATTTGTATTTATTTCATGGCTAAATTTCTTTTTTTCTTTTCTTTCTCTTTTTTTTTTCTTTTTTTTTTGAGGCAGAGTTTCACTCTTGTTGCCCAGGCTGGAGTGCAATGGCGTGATCTTGGGTCACCACAGTCTCCGCTTCCCTGGTTCAAGTGATTCTCTTGCCTCAGCCTCCCGAGTAGCTGGGATTACAGGCATGCACCACCACGCCTGGCTAATTTTTTGTATTTTTAGTAGAGATGGGGTTTCTCCATGTTCGTCAGGCTGGTCTCCAACTCCTGACCTCAGGTGATCTGCCCGCCTCGGCCTCCCAAGGTGCTGGGATTACAGGCGTGAGCCACCGCGCCCAGCTTTCATGGCTAAATTTCTGAAGTAAAAGCTATAGGATCTTTGTGTGTGTGTATATATTTAAAAGGCCTTTATAATTTCTATAATTTTATGTTTAATTGGCAATTAAATCTGTTTTAATTTCCCTCCAGCACACCAGACTTTTTCTCTCCATACGTTATGATGTAAATTTTGCTATTCGATTTTCACCTCAGTTTCCTTAAAATGCAAATTCAAGGCTATTTAGCTGACAACCGCTTAGAGTAGTAAAACAGGTTATCAAGAATTCGAAGGTGTGGCTGGGCACGGTGGCTCACGTCTGTAATCCTAGCATTTGGGAGGCTGAGCCGCAAAGATCTCTTGAGGTCAGGAGTTCAAAACCATCTTGGCCAACATGTTGAAACCCCGTCTCTACTAAAAATACAAAAAAAATTAGCCAGGTGTGGTGGCAGGTGCCTATAATCCCAGCTACTCAGGAAGCTGAGGCAGGAGAATCACTTGAAGCCAGGAGGCAGAGGTTGCAGTGAGTCGAGATCAAGCCATTGCACTCCAGCCTGGGCAACAGAGTGAGACTCTGTCTCAAAAAAAAAAAAAAAAAAGTAAAAAAGAATTTGAAGGTGTAAGAAAAAAGCTCTTTATGAATCTATAAGATGAACTTCTTTCAGCATACCTAATACATCTGTGTATTTATGTGTTGTTGTGTACACAGTGTTTTGCTACTGAAAATATATAAAAGAGCTCTAATTAATTGGCTTAAGAAAATAAAAGCACTTGGCTGGGTGCAGTGGCTCATGCCTGTACTCCCAGCACTTTGGGAGGCTGAGGTAGGTAGATCACCTGAGGTCAGGAGTTTGAGACTAGCCTGGCCAACATGGTGAAACCCCATCTCTACTAAAAATACAAAAATTAGCCGGACGTGGTGGTGCGCGCCTATAATCCCAGCTACTCCAGAGGCTGAGGCAGGAGAATTGTTGGATCCCGGGAGGAAGAGGTTTCATTGAGCTGAGATCTCATTACTGTACACTCCAGCCTGGGTGACAGAGCAAGACTCCATCTCAAAAAAAAAAAAAAAAGCTAGTGATTCCATATCTTCAAATCAAATTTCAGTGGAGTGTTTACCGGGCAAGGAAGGCAGGGGGGTCAGCTTGCTGACAGCCTCAACCTGCCAGCCCTCAGCCTGCACATTTGTGATCACCTGGTCACACACCTGGGCAGGAGGCTGCCCCTCCTCCCTGGTTTGAGGAAGCAGGAAAAGGTACCCGCGAGAGACAGCCAGCAGTTCTGTGGAGCAGCGGTGGCCGGCTAGGATGGGCTGTCTCTGGGGTCTGGCTCTGCCCCTTTTCTTCTTCTGCTGGGAGGTTGGGGTCTCTGGGAGCTCTGCAGGTAAGGAGGCCTAGAAGGGCCTGGTGGGCCTCTCCCCTAGTAGGGCTCTGGGAGTGAATTTCAGTATGAGCCACCCTTCATGGGCAAGGGCAGGCTCTCTCGGGTTGATTATAATGAACCACAGTGCTACTTGTGAAGTGCTATTATTGTTGATAAAGAGTGTGCAAATGACAGTGTGAGTGAGTGTAAGCGTGCATGGCGCTGCAGTACACACTAATCAACCATGACGATGTGTGTGAGTGTAAGCGTGCCTGGCGCTGCAGTACACACTAATCAAACATGACGCTGCCATCGTAAGGGGTGGCTGAGAGTTTCTGTTTATGAACGTGGGACAGTAAGTGGGGCACGGAGCGGGGGTGCAGGGAGGTGCCAGCTGGTGATCATTGTGCAGAAAGCTGAAGAATGTGGCTTAACAAGATTCTGACTCCTCCCAGTTTATTACCTAGCATGGATTTCCTTCAAAATACAGATTTCGTGTGAAAAGTCCAACTGCCACAAACTGCTTGGGAAGGGTGGATGCTGACAGGCAGGGCTTTTGTGAAAGACGGGAATGAACCCTGACCTGTCGCTAATAGGAGTTGTGCCAAACTCATCACATACATTAAAAAATAGAAAAGGATTTATTTTTTTTTTAGAGCAGTTCTATGCTCCCTCTAAACCTCGAGTGGAGAGGCCGGGCGTGGTGGCTCACACCTGTAATCCCAGCATTTTGGGAGGCTGAGGTGGGTGGATCACCTGAGGTCAGGAGTTCGAGACCAGCCTGACCAACATGGAGAAACCCCGTCTCTACTAAAAATACAAAATTAGCCGGGGGTGGTAGCAGGTGCCTGTAATCCCAGCTACTCGGGAGGCTGAGGCAGGAGAATTGCTTGAACCTGGGAGGTGGAGTTTGCAGTGAGCTGAGATCGCACCGTTGCGCTCTGGCCTGGGCAACAAAAGTGAAACTGTGTTTCAAAAAAAAAAAAAAGCTGCAGTGGAGAGTCTGGAGTTCCCATCCCCACCACTCACAGCCTCCCCCATCATCAGCGTCCCCCACCAGAGTGGCACATTTGATAGGACTGAGGAACCTACTTTGATGCATCATTATCATACATTGTATTTTTAATCCTCACAACGGCCCTGCAAGATCGGCCCTGTTCTTACCACCCCCCACCTCCACTGCTTTAAGGATGAGGCCACTGTGCTTCTGGGCATCCAGTAACAACTCCTCGGAGCCAGAATCTGACTCCTCACAGGCCTGAGCACTGCACCCCGTGGCCTCCTGCCTGTGCTCACCGTGGCCTGGTCTGCGCTGCACGTGTCCCGTTAGCTCCACCTTACAGGTGCGGAAATGCAGGCTTGGAGCTGAGAGACTTGGCCAGGGTCACAGGGCAGAGAGCAGATTCTCCAACTCAGGGTCCCAAGTCCACACGCTTTCCTCTCCACCAGATTTGAAGATTGTACCAGGAGAGCCGCAGTGTTCCAGAGCTACTGAGGGGGCTGGGCTGGGATTTGCTGTATTCGAGAAGACCCCCTTGGACCCGAGAGGCTGTGGGCTTGGGGAGCATGAGGAGGTTTCACAGCAGAAAGGACACCCCGGGGCTCCTGGATAAGCCAGAAAATGTGCCAGGGGAAGTCGGGCTCCAAGGGCACCACTCTGGGCTTCCAGCTGTGTGGGCTGGACCAAGAAGGCTCAGAGAAATGATCTCAGGCTTGAAGTGGGGAGAAGAAACTGTATTATGAAGGCAGACGAACAGTTCCTGCAAAGGTGAGATTTGTGTGTGCAGCTGGGCCGCACTGGACCAGGGATGAGAGTGGGTGCCCGGGACTCGCCTATACTGCCTGGGGGTGCAGCCCGCACTCCTCACTATAGTCAAATCGACTATGCGTGCTTTCCAGGGGCCCGGGAGAGGACTCCATGGGGAGGGATGCTTACCTTGTGGGCTTTGGAATATAAGCCCTTTCATCTTCTCCGCTGGTCCTCACCACGTTGGCAAGGCAGGTATTGTGACCCTGTTTTCTCAGGTGAGGACATGGAGGCTGGGAGGGGTCTAGAGACTGGCCTGGCTAGTAGGAGGCTGAGTCAGGATTTGAACCAGCAGATCATCTGACCCCAGAGCCGGTCGTGGGCGGCACAGCGGGAGCTGCAACCGAGGCTCTTGACTCCTGCCTCGTCATTCCCTGAGGTCCACAGGACAACCAGCTGGGGACCTGGAGCCCCATCCTGACGTCCTGGGGAGAGGTGCTAGGCCTCTTTTGGGTCTATGAGCTACTTTTGGGCCAGTGGAGCCGGGTAAAGACCATCTCAAACCCTGTGCCAGGGGAGGTCAGACTCCAAGAGCGCCACCTTTGGGCTTCCAGCTGTGTGGGCTGCACCAAGAAGGCTCAGAGAATTAGGGGGTTCGTATTTGATCCTTTTCCTTCCAAGACTGGGATTACCAGATAAAACACAGGGCATCCAGTTACATTTGAATTTCAGGTAACAATTTTTTTTTAAGTGTAAGTACGTAGCCAATATTGCATGAGAAATACTCATGCTAAAAAGTTATTCGTCATTTATCTGAACTGCGAGTTCAAATTTAACCGAGTACCCTGTATTTTTATTTGCTAAATCTAGAAACCCTCTCCAAGAGGCTCCTTGGCCCACTCACAGGGAGAGCCCGATCTCCCTCTAGACAGGGGAGGCCCCCTTTCTCAGGCCAGAAAAGATCTTGTAGTAAACTACTCAAGAGGCTGAGGCAGGAGGATCGCTTGAGCCCAGGAATTCAAGACCTGCCTGGGCAACAGAGCAAGACCCTGTCTCTAGGGAAGATATCCTACCGTAGCCTCCCTCGGGGACTCCCATTCCTCCCACCTCAGGGCCAGTCAAGGGAACAGGCCTCTGCTCTGGGCAGAAGTGCCGGCAGCCGCTCTCTGAAAAGCTAGGTGTTGCCTCAGGGGCTCCCGGTGTCCTGTGGAAAATGCCTGGCCACGGTTTCCATGGTTCCCAGGCTCCAACCCTGCAGTTCTCGGCCCTCATTCAGGAGGGGCCTCGGCAGGGTGGGGGGTGCCGTCTTTCCCTTGCCGGAGCCCCAAGGACTCTGCCGGCTCCCTCGCTTTGGCAGCAGCACTGCCCACCCTGTCTCTGGAGGTTCCCCCGCCTCAATCCACCCAGCTACCCCGAAAGGCACAATCATAGGCCTTTCTCGTCTTTTAAGGGTTTTTTACTTCCATGGGGAACTATGTGTTGGATGAGAAAAGTACCCGGGGAAGGCGACAGAGGTTCAGAAAGCTCTGCGAGTCCTGGACGCTGGTCTGCCTTCTTGGCTCACCCTGGAAGGTGGACGCTGGCCCCACACATCCCCTCTTAAAGACGCAGGCCGATAGCCAGCAGATCCTGGGGCTTGCTGGCCCCAAGTGAGTTGTCAGGGTTTCAGAGGACGCCAGTCATGGCAACCCCAGCTCCATGGCTGCCACACAGGCCTGGGCTTCCCAGGACTGCCTCCTTCTTGTTCGCTTATGTAGATGAAAAATGAGGTAACGGCACTCCCCTGCCCCACCCTCCTCCCAGAAGTGCCCAGGGTGTAAATGCAATAGCTTGTGTGAAGTCCACTGGAACCCAGGCTCACCAAGTCAGTCTTAACCAACACAGGCCCCAGCACCCGCAGAGCAGACACTGCGATGACAACGGACGACACAGAAGTGCCCGCTATGACTCTAGCACCGGGCCACGCCGCTCTGGAAACTCAAACGCTGAGCGCTGAGACCTCTTCTAGGGCCTCAACCCCAGCCGGCCCCATTCCAGAAGCAGAGACCAGGGGAGCCAAGAGAATTTCCCCTGCAAGAGAGACCAGGAGTTTCACAAAAACATCTCCCAACTTCATGGTGCTGATCGCCACCTCCGTGGAGACATCAGCCGCCAGTGGCAGCCCCGAGGGAGCTGGAATGACCACAGTTCAGACCATCACAGGCAGTGATCCCGAGGAAGCCATCTTTGACACCCTTTGCACCGATGACAGCTCTGAAGAGGCAAAGACACTCACAATGGACATATTGACATTGGCTCACACCTCCACAGAAGCTAAGGGCCTGTCCTCAGAGAGCAGTGCCTCTTCCGACGGCCCCCATCCAGTCATCACCCCGTCACGGGCCTCAGAGAGCAGCGCCTCTTCCGACGGCCCCCATCCAGTCATCACCCCGTCACGGGCCTCAGAGAGCAGCGCCTCTTCCGACGGCCCCCATCCAGTCATCACCCCGTCATGGTCCCCGGGATCTGATGTCACTCTCCTCGCTGAAGCCCTGGTGACTGTCACAAACATCGAGGTTATTAATTGCAGCATCACAGAAATAGAAACAACAACTTCCAGCATCCCTGGGGCCTCAGACATAGATCTCATCCCCACGGAAGGGGTGAAGGCCTCGTCCACCTCCGATCCACCAGCTCTGCCTGACTCCACTGAAGCAAAACCACACATCACTGAGGTCACAGCCTCTGCCGAGACCCTGTCCACAGCCGGCACCACAGAGTCAGCTGCACCTCATGCCACGGTTGGGACCCCACTCCCCACTAACAGCGCCACAGAAAGAGAAGTGACAGCACCCGGGGCCACGACCCTCAGTGGAGCTCTGGTCACAGTTAGCAGGAATCCCCTGGAAGAAACCTCAGCCCTCTCTGTTGAGACACCAAGTTACGTCAAAGTCTCAGGAGCAGCTCCGGTCTCCATAGAGGCTGGGTCAGCAGTGGGCAAAACAACTTCCTTTGCTGGGAGCTCTGCTTCCTCCTACAGCCCCTCGGAAGCCGCCCTCAAGAACTTCACCCCTTCAGAGACACCGACCATGGACATCGCAACCAAGGGGCCCTTCCCCACCAGCAGGGACCCTCTTCCTTCTGTCCCTCCGACTACAACCAACAGCAGCCGAGGGACGAACAGCACCTTAGCCAAGATCACAACCTCAGCGAAGACCACGATGAAGCCCCCAACAGCCACGCCCACGACTGCCCGGACGAGGCCGACCACAGACGTGAGTGCAGGTAAGTGGCTCCTGCTGGTGATCTTCGGGGATTTGGGATGCGGAGTTTCCAGGACGTCTCCGCACTTGAGGAGTGGAGAGGAGGGAAGGATCTGGAGCCTACTCAGAGCCTGCTCCTGCTGTTGCCTCTTCGTGATCTTCTAGTGGTTCTTGGCGAAATCAGGAAAAGGCAGATGGAGGGTTGTGTATGGAAAGGGGTGGGGATGGAAGTCCGGAGAAATGGTTTGCGGTCTCGGCTCTGCCTGTAACAACCCGAGTGACCTTGGGCAAGTCCCTGTCCCTCTCTGGGCCTCAGTTTCTCCACCTGTATTTGGAGAGGGTTGGAATGGGCACTGAAGTCCTGTCCAGCTCTGACCTTCTGTGAAGTGCACTGTTGAGCAGCTCTGGAAGCTTCTATTCCAGCCATAGCCACACAGAGGAGCAGCAGGCAGGCATCAGGCCCAAGCTGCTGCTCTCTGACAGGCTGGGACCCCATGAAAGTGGGGCCTGCTGGATGCATTTCCTGGGATTTATGCCATAGATAGTGACTTAAAATAAATTAATACAGGCCTGGAGCGGTGGCTTATGCCTGTAATCCCAGCACTTTGGGAGGCAGAGGCCGGCGGATCACCTGAGGTCAGGAGTTCGAGACCAGGCTGACCAACATGGTGAAACCCCATCTCTACTAAAAATATGAAAATTAGCTGGGCGCAGTGGTGGGCGCCTGTAATCCCAGCTACTTGGGAGACTGAGGCAGGAGAATCACTTGAACCCGGGAGGTGGAGGTTACAGTGAGCTGAGACGGAGTGAAACTCCGTCTCAAAAAAAAAAGGTAAGATAAAATAAGCAAATACAGCGAAGGCTTGGGAGTTTAAAGCTACATCTCTGAGGCAACAGGGACTTCTCAGGGGAGAAGTTCATTGTCAGAGGCTGCTTGGTCAGTCCAGCTTCTGGTCAGCCTGTAGCCTCCACCTCCACTTCCTGTCACTCTGCCCTTGGGCCTCATCTCTGTGTATCCGCAGCTTGTTACCACCTTTCTGGGGGAGGTGGGAATACAAATATTAATCACAACCACTCAATACATAAAGATATTATTGAATATCTTTCATGTTATAGGCAGGGGTGATATAAACATGTTTCACACCCAGTAAGCACTGGCCCCAGCAGAACGTTCTCTCCGGTGCCAGGCAGTGTGCCACCAGCTTTGCATATGTTATCTGATGCCAGGCAGTGTGCCACCGGCTTTGTATATGTTATCTGATGCCAGGCAGTGTGCCACCGGCTTTGCATATGTTATCTGATGCCAGGCAGTATACCACCAGCTTTGCATATGTTATCTGATGCCAGGCAGTGTACCACCAGCTTTGCATATGTTATCTGATGCCAGGCAGTGTGCCACCAGCTTTGCATATGTTATGATGCCAGGCAGTGTGCCACCAGCTTTGCATATGTTATCTCCTCTATTTAACCTTCAAAACAGCCTTAGGAGGTGGGTAACACGACCCCATCTGACAGGGTTGAAGATGGTAGCTAAACTGCTCTGGAAAGTGAAGGGGTGGCCTGCCCCTCCACACCTGTGGGTATTTCTAGTCGGGTGGGATGAGAGACTGAGAAAAGAAATAAGGCACAGAGACAAAGTATAGAGAAACAACAGTGGGCCCAGGGGACCGGCGCTCAGCATACCAAGGACCTGCACCGGCACCAGTCTCTGAGTTTTCTCAGTTTTTATTGATTATTATTTTCATTATTTTAGCAAAAAGGAATGTAGTAGGAGAGCAGGGTGATAATAAGGAGAAGGTCAGCAAGAAACATGTGAGCAAAAGAATCTGTGTCATAATTAAGTTCAAGGGAAGATACTATGCCTGGATGTGCACGTAGGCCAGATTTATGTTTCTCTCCACCCAAACATCTCAGCAGAGTAAAGAATAATAAAGCAGCATTGCTGCAAACATGTCTCACCTCCCGCCACAGGGTGGTTTTTCTCCTGTCTCAGAATTGAACAAATGTACAATCGGGTTTTATACCGAGACATTCAGTTCCCAGGGGCAGGCAGGAGACAGTGGCCTTCCTCTATCTCAACTGCAAGAGACTTTCCTCTTTTACTAATCCACCTCAGCACAGACCCTTTACGGGTGTCAGCCTGGGGGACGGTCAGGTCTTTGTCATCCCACGAGGCCATATTTCAGACTATCACATGGGGAGAAAGCTTGGACAATACCCTGCTTTCAAGGGCAGAGGTCCCTGCGGCTTTCCACAGTGCATTGTGCCCCTGGTTTATTGAGACTAGAGAATGGCGATGACTTTTACCAAGTATACTGCTTGTAAACATTTTGTTAACAAGGCACGTCCTGCACAGCCCTAGATCCCTTAAACCTTGATTTTATACAACACATGTTTTTATGAGCTCAAGGTTGGGGCAAAGTTACAAATTAACAACATCTCAGCAAAGCTTGTTTAAAGTACAGGTCTTTTTCAAAATGGAGTCTCATGTCTTTCCTTTCTACAGAGACACAGTGACAGTCTGATCGCTCCTTCTTTTCCCTGGAAAGAAAAATACTTTATTATTTGTTGATTAGATAAGACATTCATATGATTTGAAATGGAAAGGTACGAAAAGGTTCACCATAAAATGCCTTTCTCCCCTGGCTGTGCCCCCACCCAGTTCTCTCCACACATGTAACCCGTGAGATTGTCTCTTGTGTGTAATTTTCTGCACATGAAATGTACATACGGAAGCAAATATATGTGACTATTTCATCCTCCTCTTTTTTTTTTTTTTTTTTTTGAGACAGTTTCGCTCTTGTTGCCCAGGTTGGAGTGTAGTGCTGCGATCTCAGATCACCACAACCTCCGCCTCCCAGGTTCAGGCGATTCTCCTGCCTCAGCCTCCTGAGTAGCTGGGATTACAGGCACGCACCACCATGCCCGGCTCATTTTGTGTTTTTAGTAAAGACGGGATTTCTCCATGTTGGTCAGGCTGGTCTCAAACTCCCGATCTCAGGTGATCCACCTGCCTCTGCCTCCCAAAGTGCTGGGATGACAGGTGTGAGCCACTGCGCCCAGCCCTGATTTTCATCTTACTGTTCTCCATTTGCAGGTGAAAATGGAGGTTTCCTCCTCCTGCGGCTGAGTGTGGCTTCCCCGGAAGACCTCACTGACCCCAGAGTGGCAGAAAGGCTGATGCAGCAGGTGAGTGGGCACTTTCCGGGCCAGGGGAGTAGAGGAAGGGGCGAGGTTCGCAGGGGCTGCAGGGAAGACCCGCAGGACACAGAAGAGCAGCTACCGCACTTGGAAGGGAGTCTCGTTTCTTACGGAGAATTGGGAGCTGAATCTGAGGATCTCTGCCTGGCTTTGCTTCTGCCTGCCTTCTCCGAGTTCTTCATTTCCTTCTCTGCAATGTAAACATGTGACTCCTAGAGCCCCCAGTTTCTTCTGGTCCTTGGAAGCTTGGCCTTCTGGCCTCTGAGGCAAAGGTCAGTGATACTGATGGGAGGGTAGGTCGGACTCTTGGTTGCAAGTGGCAGAAACCCAAGTCAGGGCAGTTTATGCAAAAAAAAAAAAAAAAAAAAAAAAGGCAAGGTCTGAGAAACCTACAAGTGTCTCTTCAGCTTCAGTACGGCTGGATCCAGCAGCTCCAACGCCATCACAGGGACTTTCTCTTTCTTTCCCTGTCTTAGCTTTACTCCCTTCATTCTTCAGAGTCTTTCTTCATGTGTATGAAAAGGCAGCCTTGTTAGCCATAGATTCACAAGGGACTTCCATCTCCCCACATTTTCTTTTCTTTTTTCTTTTTCTTTCTTTCTTTTTGTTTTTTGAGACGAAGTCTCGCTCTGTCGCCCAGGCTGGAGTGCAGTGGTGCGATCTCAGCTCACTGCAAGCTCCGCCTCCTGGGTTCACGCCATTCTCCTGCCTCAGCCTCCCAAGTAGCTGGGACTACAGGCGCCCGCCACCACGCCCAACTAATTTTTATGTTTTTTTTTTTAGTAGAGACGGGGTTTCACCGTGTTAGCCAGAATAGTCTCAATCTCCTGACCTCGTGATCCACCCGTCTTGGCCTCCCAAAGTGCTGGGATTACAGACATGAGCCACCGCACCCGGCCCCCTCTCCCCAAATTTTCATGTCATCTGGGGAAGTGCAGGTCTCCATGGCCTGCAAGGGTCACCATGACTGACAACCCAGTCAGGATCCCATAGAGGAAGGATGAGCCCCAAGAAAATAGGGAGGCTAGGCAGAAAAAACCGCAGAGATGTATACTCTAGATGAGGACCATGATTGGGATGTATTTGTACAAGTTGGGAAAATTCTCCTAAAACCCACTGGATAGAACTTCCAATGGTAAAGTTCCGGGGTCAGGGTTTTGAGGATGGGGATGGTGTGGCTTGTTGGAGGTTAGACTGGGTCAGCTCAGTGCAGATGTCACGGGCCTGGCCTTACTGAGGGGTGGGTTGTTCTCCTAATGTGTGGTACAAAGTAGCAGATGGGGCATGATGGGAAGTGTCTAAGCTCTGCTCACAGATGTAACCGTGAAAACAGGCCCAGTGCACAGTCTAATGTGGATTGCCTCTTTGACAGTGCCCTTGCTAATACCTGAAGCTTGCATTCAGCACCTCTCACAGTCAATGGGACAGTGCCCTTGCTAATACCTGAAGCTTGCATTCAGCACCTCTCACAGTCAATGGGTGCCACACTGCTGAAAAGTGGCTCAGGCTTCCTGTCATCCCTTGCAAGGGTAAACCTGGCAGAGATGCTGGCTGGGGGTCTTATGCCAGGTGTAGAGTTCATAGCCAGGCTGGACAGGTGGAATGATTGCCCTTAGCAGAGGGAAGCAAGATATGTCCGTGGAGAGTGGGATCCTTTGTTGCAGGCGAAAGAAAACCTCTGTCTGTCGTAAGTAAAAGGGGGATTTGTTGGCAGCGTCCCAGAGTGCATAGAATCAAAGCAATGCCAGGACAGCAGGCTTGGAAAATAGGCAGGAGGGCCCCCAGGAGCTCTGGGGTCCAGACAGTGGGATCAGGCTGGCTGGGACACTGTCCCTCTTGCTGGTCAGTCACTATTGGATGCTGCCACAGCCAAGGGGCATCACGTGGCCTGCACACACATTCACATAGGTTCTCGCTGCCTTTTTGTCTCACTGGACTTTTTGCTCCAGAGCCAAAGTCCTGAGTAGGAACATTTGATAGGCCGAGCTTAGCCCTTGTACTCCCATGAGCCCACAGCCAGGTGCCAGGGGACGGGAAGAAGGGATGTCTGCGTCCTTGGAGTTCTCTTAGCAGCAGTGAGGCCGATCGTGACTCCCACTGTAAGGAGTTCCCTAAACATGGCACGGGGGCTCGACACCCGATGGCCAAATAAGTGACAAATGCCCCCGGCATGTGATAATCAAAGTAGCGAGTGTGAATCCTTGTGGGAGAGGGAAGCCAATTGCTTTTGTTTTGTTTTGTTTTCTGAGACTGAGTCTCACTCTGTCATCCAAGCTGGAGTGCAGTGGTGCGATCTTGGCTCACCACAACCTCCGCCTCCCAGGTTCAAGCCATTCTCCTGCCTCAACCTTCTGAGTAGCTGGGATTACAGGCCCGCACCACCATACCTGGCTAATTTTTGTATTTTTAGTAGAGATGGAGTTTCAGGTTTCAGCATCTTGGCCAGGCTAGTCTTGAACTCTTGACCTCATGATCCACCCACCTCAGCCTCCCAAAGTGCTGGGATTACAGGCGTTGAGTCATTGCGCCCGGCTGGGAAGCCAGTTTTCTTTTTCTTTTTCTTTTTCTTTTCTTTTCTTTTATTTTTCTTGAGACAGATTCTCGCTCTGTCGTCCAGGCTGGAGTGCAATGGCACGATCTCGGCTCACTGCAACCTCCGCCTCCCGGATTCAAGCAATTCTCCTGCCTCAACCTCCCTAGTAGCTGGGATTACAGGTGCACACTACCACTCCTGGCTAATTTTTGTATTTTTAGTAGAGATGGGGTTTCTCCATGTTGGTCAGGCTGGTCTCGAACTCCTGACCTCAGGTGACCCACCTGCCTCTGCTTCCCAAAGCACTGGGATTATTGGCGTGAGCCACCGCACCCGGCTGGGAAGCCAGTTTTGAATCTCAGGTCTAAGCCCCCAAACCAGAAATGATTTCAGGAATCGGAAAGAAACCGGGAGATCAGGAGCAGGTCAGGCAGCTGAGGCGCAGGCACCAGGCCACATGGGGTTGGGCATCAGTTCTCGTCCGGGGACAGCCCAACAGTTTGGGCTCAGGGATTAGACAATGAGCTTAGGAACCAGCTAGATCTGGGTGTGAATTCTAGTTCCCAACTGTGTGATCTTGGATAAGTTATTCTATGCGACTTTCATCCCTTATAAAATGAGGATCCTAACACCTGCTTTATAAGGTTGCTGTGAGGTTTAGATGACATAATGTGTGTGAGGCACCAGCCTGTGTCCAGCATGTAGGAGGCCCAGGAAGGGTTGCCGTCCTCCGCATGCACTCTGCCCCAGTGTCCCTTCCTGTCCTCTGCCTCTGGCGAGCTCATGGGCCAGATGGGCTGAAAGGACAGCTGGCTCTTTTGCTCTCCAGCTCCACCGGGAACTCCACGCCCACGCGCCTCACTTCCAGGTCTCCTTACTGCGTGTCAGGAGAGGCTAACGGACATCAGCTGCAGCCAGGCATGTCCCGTATGCCAAAAGAGGGTGCTGCCCCTAGCCTGGGCCCCCACCGACAGACTGCAGCTGCGTTACTGTGCTGAGAGGTACCCAGAAGGTTCCCATGAAGGGCAGCATGTCCAAGCCCCTAACCCCAGATGTGGCAACAGGACCCTCGCTCACATCCACCGGAGTGTATGTATGGGGAGGGGCTTCACCTGTTCCCAGAGGTGTCCTTGGACTCACCTTGGCACATGTTCTGTGTTTCAGTAAAGAGAGACCTGATCACCCATCTGTGTGCTTCCATCCTGCATTAAAATTCACTCAGTGTGGCCCAGAGGCTGTCTATTGATCTGCATGCTTTCGCCATTTTTATAGTACAGGGATTGTGTATAGTCTCACTGCTACCTCCTCCTTCTACTCCCCCAGGTCTTGGTTTGGACTTTGATGATAGCATTTACTGAAACGGGCCTGGAGCCTGTCGAACAGCCCGCTGTGGCAGGGCAGGGACCACCTTTGTTCATCTCAGTATCCCCTGAACTAGCAGAGTGTCTGGCCTGCAGTGGGATCGCAGAGAATGTGGAATTGACCTAAATTTAAATTTCAAGTTCTGGACACAAGCCTCAATTATTCCTCTTATATGTTATAACTTACATGCTATTATTTTTTAAAAAAATTAATATGGTTTACTTTTTATTATAAAAGTAAAACTTGGCCAGGCTCAGTGGCTCACGCCTGTAATCCCAGCACTTTGGGAGGCCGAGGCCGGTGGATCACGAGGTCAGGAGTTTGAGACCAGCCTGGCCAACATGGTGAAACCCCGTCTCTACTAAAAACACGAAAATTAGCTGGGTGTGGTGGCAGGTGCCAGTAATCCCAGCTACCCAGGAGGCTGAGACGGGAGAATCACTTGAACCCGGGAGGCAGAGGTTGCAGTGACCCAAGATCCTACCACTGCACCCCAGCCTGGGCAAAAGGGCAAGACTCTGTCTCATAAATAAATAAATTTAAAATAAAAGTAAAACTTGTTTATGATTTCAAAATTTTGAAATATTCCAAAGACCAAGCAAAGTAAGAAGTGGGAAGAGGAGAAAGAAAAACTTTTCTATAATCCCACCTCTTAGATACAACGATTTATTTTTTAAAATTGAGACAGGGTCTCACTCTCACCCAAACTGCAGTGCAGTGGTGCGACCATGGCTCACTGCAGCCTCCACCTCCCAGCTCCAGTGATCCTCCCACCTCAGCCTCCTGAGGAGCTGGGACCACAGCTGGCTAATTTTTGTACTTTGTTTTGTAAAAAAGGGGCTTTACCATGTTGACCAGGTTGGTCTCGATCTTCTGAGCTCAAGCAGTCCTCCTGCCTCAGACTCGCAAAGTGCTGGGATTACAGACATGAGCCACTGTGCCCAGCCTTATATACAGCTATTATTATTAATGTATACTGTGTATTCATTTCAATTCTTAATCTCTCCACTTGGATGTTGATGAAATACATACCTCACATTCAACATTTCTTTCTTTTTTTTTTTCTTTTTGAGATGGAAAGGAGCCTGGCTCTGTCACCCAGGCTGGAGTGCAGTGGCGTGATCTCAGCTCACTGCAAGCTCCACCTCTTGGGTTCACGTGATTCTCCTGCCTCAGCCTCCTGAGTATCTGGGACTACAGGTGCCACCACCATGCTCGGCTAATTTTTTGTATTTTTAGTAGAGACGGAGTTTCACCGTGTCAGCCAGCCTGGTCTCAAACTCCTGACCTCAAGTGATCCACCCACCTCGGCCTCCCAAAGTGCTGGGATTCCAGTTAATGAGCACTGCTCCTGGCCTCCACATTTCTAAAATCGAAGTTCTGATCTTTTCCTCTGGACCTGCCCCACCTGCATCTTCCCCATCTCAGTTAACGTCAGTTGCATCCTTCAGGTGCTCAGGCCGAAATCCTCAGCACCGTTCTTTATTCTCCTCTCACATTTTGCACCAGGAAATTCTGCTGGCTCTAAGGCCATCAAACTGTGCCCAGAATGTGGCCCCTCCTCAGCATCTCCAGTGCTACCACCGAGATGGTCCACGATGCCATCATCTCTCACCTGCACTACTACAGGTCTCCCTGTTTCCAGCTCAGCCCCCACCCCAGTCTAGTCCCAGTGTGTCAGCCAGGGCTGTCTTTTTACAACATAAGGCAGAACACACCACTTCTTTGCTCCAATCCTCCCATTTCACTCAGAAGAAAAGCTCTGACAACAGCTGCAAAGCCGTGCACGACCTGCGCCCCTCCCCTGCCTCCTTAATTTGCTGACTGCACCGCAGCCACATGGACGTCTTTCTTGTCCCTTTAATGCGCTGGGCCTGCTCTTGCCTTGGGACCTTTCTGTGCATTGCTTAGTCTGCTCAGAAGCCTTCTCCTCTACATATCCACTTGTCTAAACCCTCTACCTCCACCTTCATGCCCCTTCTCAGCGAGGTCTACCATGACCATGCTGCCTACAAATTCAGTCTCCCCTTCTGTACTTTGACGTACTTTATAGTGCTGATCACAATTGAACGTCATACATATTTTGTTTTCTTTATTATCTGAGTCCTCCAACTAGAATGAAAGATTTTGCCCATTATGGTTTCCCTAGTGCCAAGAACAGTACCTGGCACATACCAGGGGCTCAGTAAACATTTGTTAGATGAATGAAGGAAACAAGGAGACTGTGTTGATGCTGCTGTGAGCAAGGGGAGTCTGAACGTTTGATGGATCCCTTCCATTTCTGGAGTGGAGCAGAATGAGTTTCATAAAGTAGCTTGGACAAAAATAATTCGCTCATCTTGGCATATATGTTGGGCAGCTGCCGCAGAAGAGAGACTGAGCTATGTGCCGTGGAGGATTCAAATCTGTCTCTTCTCCCAGGGATTGAAGTTAGACACGTACAGCAATAATAAGTTGAAAGAACTTATTTACACCGCATATAGCAACAACAGGATGCCCTTAATATATAGAGAACTCTTACAGCGCAAGAAAATAAAAAGGCAAACGTACCAGTAGAAAAATGGGTAAATGGCAACAGGTAATTCACAAAAGAAGAAATACAAATGTCCTCTCCTCCCGCCACCACCCCCCATGAAAAAGAACGTGTGACTTCAGTAGCAAAAACAGGTCCATTAATACAGTGAGATATTGCTTATTGTATGTCTGTACTGATCTATACTGGGTGCTGGGCAAACGGGCATTCTTAAACACTCCTAGTAGGGAAGAAATTGGTACAACCTTTCCGGAGGACAATTTAACTGATTTATTTAAAGCCCGAAAAATGTACATACCTTTAACTCAGCAGTTTCGTTACTGATTTATCTTAAGGAAGTAATTTAGAATCTGTGCCTAACTGTTTACAATAACTCATAGATGAAAAAGGCAAAACAAAACACAAGTAACCTCAAATCTCCCCATGTAACAGTTTGCTTAAACACTATAGCGTTATTTTACGCAAGCTACAGAAGCATTGTTGAAACATATATTTATTAGGACAGAAAAAAATTCATGAAATGTTATTTTATCTTCTTTTTTCTTAAAATGGAACTTAAAAAAAATTTTTTTAACTCCAACCTACCTTTTACACCATCTGCAGAGCTTTCCTCTCCCAAATCAAAGCTACTCCTGTTCCTACCTCCAGGATGGAATCCCCACCTTCGTATGCAAGGGTCTTCATGATATGGCCTCAGCCAACTATCTTAGCTCCAGGTCACGGCCCCATCTTCCATATCCTATGCTGCTTGCACAGGAAGCAGCTCGCTAACCCCAGGCACACCTGCTTTCATCTGGAGCGTCTGCCCATCATGATTCCTCCCCCTGGTCCCTTCACCTGGAAAACTCCTATTCATTCCTCAAAGCCCAGTTCAGATGGCACCTCTCCATGACTTCATCAGATTCCCTACAGAGGTGCTGATTTTCTGGTCTCTTGTGTTTCTGTTGTAACACTTAACATGCTGTATTATAATGTGCTTATTTTATTTACAAGTTTGTTACATTGTACGTGCTCGAGGACAAGCAGCCGGTAGTATTCACCTCTGTCATCACAGAAGCTGGCGTGGAGCCCTCCACATGAGGGCACTGATGTGTTTGCTGAGTGACTGGGACAATGGTGGGCCACGTGAGCCCCGAAACTTTCAGTGGGCTCTGAAAGTTAAGAAAAGGGCATTCAGTACTGAAATCACACAAAACGTAAATTTAATGATATAATTGTTCCGAAGCTGCTCTATAATTTGGCATGAATGGAGAGCAGTTTACAAAAATGACAACACCACTGTTATATAAACCCAATTCTTAAATAGGTTTTCTTCTCTTGCTTTGTATTTCCTCAAGTGGGTGATACTTAATACAGTGGCTCATGTAATCTTAATTACTACATATGAGGACACGGACATGTACATATGATGCTGATTACTGCTATTTTTGGAAGTAAAAAAATTGTAAAATTTGACTAGCTTAAAAAATCTGTAAAATATGGGATACACAAATTAGAGACTGGGTGCGGTGGCTCATGCCTGTAATCCCAGCACTTTGAGAGGCCGAGGCAGGCGGATCACTTGAGGCCAGGAGTTTGAGACCAACCCAGGCAACATGGTGAAATCCTGTCTCTACTAAAAATACACAAATTAGCTGGGCATAGTGGCAGGTGCCTGTAATCCCAACTACTCAAAAGGGTGAGGCAGGAGAATCACTTGAACCTGGGAGGCGGAGGTTGCAGTGAGCTGAGATTGCGTCACTGCACTCCAGCCTGGTGACAGAGCGAGACCGTGTCTCAAAACGTCAACAAGAACAACACAAATTAGAAGCATTTGGGAACTAAAATGTATCATTATGATTGCATGTGGGTGGGTTGGGGGGGGACAATAAAGAGGAAGAGAGACTGTGTGTGTGTGTGTGTGTGTGTGTGTGTGCACGCCTGTATTACTGGAGATGACCAAAGTTAGCAGGAGTAATGTTACCAAGCTAACAGGAGCCAGAAGTCCCTGGAGAAAACTCTCCAGCTATTTAAGATTCTAAAGTGTGTGTATATGAGGTAAAAATGCCACGTTTTATAAAGACAAATTTAAGCATGGACCTAAACAAGATGGCCTGTCTAAAGTCACCTGTGACTTGGTGTGAGCTCTGAGACGGCGAAACTCCACAGCAATGATGAAGACAACGTGAGGTGGAACTTCTCTGACCAGAGACCTCATCTGAAGCTTCTGCCACAGCCAGTCCTGCCTTCATCCCTTGAGAGGGGGATTGGCCACCAAAGTATGCAAAGCATTTGAATGGAAACGAATTCCGTGGGTGCGCCCCACACTTTAATAGTGGCCATGATATCACTTTCTGGTGCCAGTAAATGCGTAAAGGGGTGCATCATGCCAGTGACCTATCACTCATCATCCCAGTCATTAAGCCACTTACTTCAGGCCTGTGGGGAGTTTCTGGAAGGCTCCTTTGAAGCAGGGAAGAATGGGCAAGGGAGTCTGTGTCTTTGGCCAAGCTTTGCCCCAGATAGCTCCTTTTGCCACTCTCGAGCCCACTGAAGGTGTCCCAGCTGCTGCCACCAGCAGGGGTCGGGGGTCTGCACCCTTCTCTCTTCCAAGCAAACTCACACCTGGCACCCTGGGGAAGGGTCAGTCAGTTATTTTATTCCAGGGGCCAAAGCGACAGAATCCAGACCACTTGTAGCCAGGGAATGAGCTGACGAAAATGGATGGTTGTGTCCTTGTCCTTCTGACTGTCCCACTCGTGAAGGGGCAGCTCCCTGTCCAGCTAGAGAAGGGTGTCCCCAGGTGCCCTCTCCTTTCTTGGGACGCCTCCTCCTCCCGTGCTGTCAGGGCCTCAGCGGCTTTGACTGGGCTCACCAAGAAAACACAGAACAGCCACTTAAATGAGAACCTCGGATAAACGGTGAACACTTAAAAATATACAAGAATGTTCCAAATAGTTCATGGGATATCTTTAAACTAAAACAATTATTTGTGGTTAATCTGAAATTTAAGCTGGGCTGCTTGTATTTTCATTTGCTAAATTGGACAGCCCTACTTTCATTATTATTATTATTATTATTATTGAGACCCAGTCTCACTCTGTCACCCAGGCTGGAGTGCAGTGGTGCCATCTCGGCTCACTGCAAGCTCCGCCTCCTGGTTTCAAGGGATTCTCCTGTCTCAGCCTCCCAAGTAGCTGGGATTACAGGTGTGCGCCACCACGCCCAGCTAATTTGTTATATTTTTGGTAGAAACAGGGTTTCACCATGTTGGTCAGGCTGGTCTTGAACTCCTGACCTCAGGTGACTTGCCTGCCTCGGCCTCCCAAAGTGCTGGGATTACAGGTGTGAGCCACCACACCTGGCCCAGACAGCCCTACTTTTAATGCATCCTCTCCCACGAGGGTCCCTGGCTCCTCTCTTCCCTCCAATCTGCGGGTCTCCTTCAGGGGTAGCAAGCTCCCAGCCTTCTCCCAGGTATTGGGCCTCTCCTCTGCCTCGGGAGGAGCTGTCCATCAAACACAGGCTCTGTCCTCCCGCTCCCTCCATTGCTTAGTGTGTGAAGGTGGACAGGGGAGGAGGGACCTTGGGTTTGGGGCGGTTCTGCTCCCCACTCGCTGCTTTGCTTTTGCTCTTTCTGGTTTCCTTTCTCCGCAGTTGATGACACAGGGCACCCACAGCGCTCACGTGCCTTCCATGGTGGGGGTGAATCCTTTGCCAATAGTGCCTGGTGGGTTTCAGGTAAGTTGTAACTTTTGGACCTTCTGCTGTCTCTGACTTTGAGTCACATGACAAGGTCCTCATGGAATTGGGATTCTGGCAGCCAGGTGAGGGCGGTCTCACCAGCTCCTTCATGCCTGCAGGCCTCCCCCTTCCTCACAACTGATGGATGGTTGGCTCCCTAGCCGCCCCGTTAGTGCCATGTGTGCTTAATTCTTTTAAAAATTTAAATATATTAATTTTAAAATCATCTTTTAAATAATAAAATTTGCTTTTTAGAGCAGTTTTGGGTTTACAGCAAAATTTTCCTGAGTGGAAAATACAGAAAGTTCCCATATGCCCCCTGCCACACACACATATACCTACGCCCAGCCTCCCCCACCACCAACGCCCTGCACCAGGTGGCACGTGTGACAGTCGATGCGTCCACGTCAACATATCCTCATCAAAGTCCAGAGTTGACAGCACATTTTTGGCGTTGGATATTCTCCATTCTCTATTCAACAACGTATCGGCTGGCCCGGCGCAGTGGCTCATGCCTGTAATCTCAGCACTTTGGGAGGTGGAGGCGGGTGGATCTCTTTGAGATCAGGAGTTCGAGACCAGCCTGGCCAACACGGCGAAAACCCATCTCTACTAAAAATACAAAAATTAGCCGGGTGTGGTGGCGCATGCCTGTAGTCTTAGCTACATGGAAGGCTGAGGCAGGAGAATCGCTTGAACCCGGGAGGTGGAGGTTGCAGTGAGCAGAGATCGCACCACTGCACTCCATTCTGGGCGACAGAGTGAGACTCAATCTCAAAAAATAACATAAATGTTTCTGCCATTGTAGCATCATACAGAAAAATAAGTAGTTTCAGTGCCCTAAAAATCCTCTGTGCTTCACTTATTCATCCCCAACCCCTGGCAACCACTGATCTTTTCACTGTCTCCATAGTTTTACCTTTTCCAGAATGTCATATAATTGCAACCGTAAGGTAAATAGCCTTTTCAGATTGTCTTCTTTCACATAGTATATGCATTTAAGTTTTCTGTATGTATTTTCATGGCTGTGTAATTCATTTCATTTTAGCACTGAATAATATTCCATCGTCTGAATGCACCATAGGTTATTTACCCGTTCACCTGCTGAAGGACATCTTGGTTGCTTCCAAGTTTTGGCAATTATGAATAAAGCTGCTATAAATTATGAATAAAGCTGCTATAAACCTCCATGTGCAGGTTTTCGTGTGGACAAAAACGTTTTCTGTCCCTTTGGGTAAATATCAAGGAGTGTGATTGCTGGACTGCATAGTAAGAGTATGGTTTAGTTTGGTAAGAAAGTGCCAAATTGCGGGCGCCTGTGGTCCCAGCTGCTGAGGAGGCTGAGGCAGGAGAATCGCGTGAACCCGGGAGGCGGAGCTTGCAGTGAGCCGAGATCGTGCCACTGCACTCCAGCCTGGGCGACAGAGCCAGACTCCATCTCCAAAAAAAAAAAAAAAAAAGAAACTGCCAAATTGTCTTCCAAAGTGGTTGTACCATGTTGCCTTCCCACCAGCAATGAAGGAGGGTTCCTGTTGCTCCACATCCTGAACAGCATTTGAAGTTTTCAGTGCTGTGGATTTTGATCATTCTTTTTTTCTTTTTCTTTTGAGACGGGGTCTCACTCCATTGCTCAGGCTGGAGTGAAGGCTGGATCGCGGCTCACTGCAGCCTCAACCTCCTGGGCTCAAGCAATCCTGCCATCTCAGCCTCCAGAGTAGCTGGGACCACAGTCACATGCTACCGTGCCCATATAATTTTTTAATTTTTTGTAGAGATGGGATCTTGCTTTGTTGCCCAGGCTGGTCTCAAACTCCTGGGCTCCAGTGATCCTCCTGCTTCAGCCTCCCAAAGTGCTGGGAGTACAGGTGTGAGCCACAGTGCCTGGTGACTGTGGTCATTCTAACAGGTGTGTATTGAGTACAGTTGTGAGCCACGATGCCTGGCGATTGTGGTCATTCTAACGGGTGTGCATGGGTTTCGCGTTGTTTGCGGTTCCCTAATGACATACGATGTTGAACATCTTTGTAGATGCTTATGTGCCATGTGAATGTCTTCTTTGGTGATATGTATGTTCAGTTTTTTTACCCATTTAAAAAACTGGGTTGTTCATTTTCTTATTGTTGAGTTGTAAGAGTTATTTGTATATTTAATTAATTAATTAATATTTTTTGAGACAGAGTCTCACTCTGTTGCCCAGGCTGGAGTGCAGTGGCGCGATCTCAGTTCACTGCAATCTCCGCCTCCTGGGTTCAAGTGATTATCCTGCCTCAGCCTCCCGAGTAGCTGGGATTACTACTACTGGTAGTAGTAATGGCGCCCGCCACCACACCCAGCTAATTTTTGTATTTTTAGTAGAGACAGGGTTTCACCATGTTGGCCAGGCTGGTCTCCAACGCCTGACCTCAATTGATCCGCTTACCTCAGCCTCCCAAAGTGCTGGGATTTCAGGTCTGAGCCAGTGCACCCGGCTCTTTGTATATTTTAGATAAAAGTCTTTAATCAGATGGGACTTTTGCAAATATTTTCATTCTCTTGCCATTGCCTTTCACAGAGAAGAAGTTTTTAATGTTAATGAAGTTCAGCTCATCAATTATTTCCTTCATGGATCATGCCCTTGCTATTGTATCTAAAATGTCATCACCATACTCAAGGTCATTTAGATTTTCTCCTATATTATCTTCTGGGAGTCTTACAGTTTTGCATTTTATTGAGGTTTATGATTCATTTTGAGTTTTTATGAAAGGTATAAGGTCTGTGTCTAGATTTTTTTTTTTTTTTTTTTTGCTTGTGGATGTCCGGTTGTCCCAGCGTCATTTATTGAAAACACTATCTCTGCTCCATTGTGTGGCCTCTGCTGCTTTGTCAAAGATCAGTTGACACATTTATACAGGTCTATTAGAAATATTACTTTTAATATTCTGGGCTCTCTATTCTGTTCCATTGATCTATTTGTCTATTCTTTTGCCAGTATCATGCTGCTTTCATGACTATAGCTTTAGAGTAAGCCTTGAAGTCAGGTGGTATCAGTCCTCTGACCATTCTCCATCAATATTGATTTGGCTATTTTGGATCTTTTGCCTCTCCACATAAACTTTAGAGCCAGTTTATCCATATCTACAAATAACTTCCTGGGATTTTGATTAAGATTGTGTCATTATGTAGAATCTGTAGATCAAGTTGGCTATCTTGATCTGCTGCTATCTTGATAATATTGAGAACTGCTATCTTAATAATATTGAGTCTTCTGGCCTGTTGTGCTGGCGCACACCTATAATCCCAGCACTTTGGGATGCCGAGGAGGGTGGATCACCTGAGGTCAGGAGTTTGAGATCAGCCTGGCCAAAATGCCGAAACCCTATCTCTACTAAAAATACAAAAAAAAATTAGCCAGGCGTGGTGGTGTGTGCCTGTAATCCCAGCTACTCATGAGGCTGAGGCAAGAGAATTGCTTGAACCCGGGAGGCTGAGGTTGCAGTGAGCTGAGATGGTGCCACTGCACTCCAGCCTGGGTGACAGAGGGAGACTCCATCTCAAAAAAAAAAAAAAAAAAGAGTCTTCCTGTTCATAAACATAGAATGTCATCCCATTTATGAAGTTCTTTGATATCTTTCATCAGAGTTTTATAGTTTTTCTCATATAGATCTTGTACATATTTTGTTACATTTACACCTCAGTATTTCATTTTGGGGGATGCTAATGTAAATGGTCATATGTATTTAATTTTATTATTCATTTTTCTTTTTTTGTTTCCTGTCTTGCTCAAATATTTTTAATTCTAAATTCCAATTGTTCTTTGCTGGCACACACGAAAGCTGTTGACGTTAGGACACTAACCTTATATCATGAAACTTGTCTGAAATTGCTTCTTTGTTCTGGGGTTTTTTCCTTTTGTCAACTCTTAGATTTTTTAACATAGATGATTGTGTCATCTGTGAACAAAGCAGTTTTGTTTCTTCCTTTTTATTCTGTATACCTTTTATTTCCCTTTTGTGTCTAGTTGCATTGGCCAAGACCTCCAGCAGGATGTTGAGAATCGATGGTGAGAGGGGACGTTCTTGCCTTGTTACTAATCTTAGGGGAAAGCATCTAATTTCTCACCGTTAAGGATGATGTTAGCTGTAGGTTTTTGTAGATATTCTTTTATTTATTTATTTATTTATTTATTTATTTATTTATTTTTTGAGACAGAGTCTCACTCTGTCACCCAGGCTGGAGTGCAGTGGTGTGATCTCGGCTCACTGCAATCTCCGCCTCCTGGGTTCACACCATTCTCCTGCCTCAGCCTCCCAAGCAGCTGGGACTACAGGCGCCCACCACCACGCCCAGCTAATTTTTTGTGTTTTTAGTAGAGATGGGGTTTCACCGTGTTAGCCAGGATGGTCTCGATCTCCTGAACTCGTGATCCGCCTGCCTCGGCCTCCCAAAGTGCTGGGATTACAGACGTGAGCCACCATGCCTGGCCGATCATGTGATTTTTATTCTCTAGCCTGTTGATGTAACGGATTGCATTAGCTGATTTTTGAATATTGAACCAGTCTTGCATACCTGGGATAAATCTCTGTTGGTCATGGCCTATAATTCTTTTTACATATTGTTGAACTGTATTTGCTAATATTTTGTTGGTAATTTTTGCATCTATGTGAGATATATTGGTCTATAGTCGTCTTGTAATGTCTTTGTCCCGTTTTGGCATTAGGGTGACAGTGACAAATGACTTAGGAAGTATTCCTCCTGCTTCTATCTTCTGGAAAAGATTGCAGAAAATAGGTATTATTTCCCCTTAAATATCTGCTAAAATTCACCAGCGAACTCATCTGTGCTGTGTGCTTGCTTCTTGATAAATGAATGCTGTGACTGCAGTTTTGTATGGAGACTTCATTACATTCCACTTTGGGGCATATGAGGGTAAAGCTACAGCTTTGTATGTAGGAGAGTGGCTTCACCTATTGGGAGAAGTCATTCTCCATGTAAGTTTGGAGTCTGCTCAGATCAAAGACTGTGAAGGTTAATATTGAGTGTCAACTTGATTGGACTGAAGGATGCAACGTATTGTTCCTGGGTGTCTCTCTGTGAGGGTGTTGGCAATGGAGACTAATATTTGAATCAGTGGACTGGGAGAGGCAGGCTCACTCTCAGTCTGGGTGGACACAATCTAATCAGCTGCCAGCATAGCCAGAATAAAGCAGGCAGAGGAATGTGGAAGGATTACACTGGCTAAGTCTTCCAGCCTTCATCTTTCTCCCGTGCTGGATGCTTCCTGCCCTCAAACATCGGACTTCCAGTTCTTCAGCTTTTGGACTCTTGGACTTACACTGGTGGTTTGTCAGGGGCTCTTGGGCCTTCTGCCACAGACTTAAGGTTACACTGTCGGCTTCCCTACTTTTGAGATCTTGGGATTCAGACTAGCTTCCCTGCTTCTCAGCTTGCAGACAGCCTATTGTGGACCTCACTTTGTGATCGTGTGAGTCGATACTCCTTCATAAACTCCCCTTTATATATACATCTATCCTATTAGTCCTGACCCTCTAGGGAACCCTAATACAAAGATTATATATATATTCTTTATATATATATATATATATATATTTTTTTTTTTTTTTTTTTTTTGAGACAGAGTCTTGCTCTGTTGCCCAGGCTGGAGTGCAGTGGCACAATCTCAGCTCACTGCAACCTCCGCCTCCTGGGTTCAAGAGATTCTCCTGCCTCAGCCTCCTGAGTAGCTGGGATTATAGGCGTGTGCCACCATGCCCAGCGAATTTTTGTATTTTAGTAGAGACAGGGTTTCACTATGTTGGCCAGGCTGGTCTCAAACTCCTGGCCTCAAGTGATCTGCCCGCCTTGGCCTCCCAAAATGTTGGGATTACAGGCGTGAGCCACCGTGCCCAACCAAAGATATTCCTTTGGGAGCTTCCTTCAACAGCACTTACCCACCCGCAAGAATGAGCTTGAACACCTGCTTTGCACCATGTGACCTCCTTTCTGACCCCATGACTACATTTTATTGGACCAGGCATAAACAACTGATGTAAATTGGACCAGTCAGATTCTCTCTTCAGGGATTTGGGATTTAGAACTAAGAGGCAGCTACCTAGTTTCTGCATAAAGTTGGAATTGAGATTTTCTAGACACAGGAATTGTGGACCAATTGTGTTGGAGTTATTACACCAGATAGGTGTAAAAGTCCC
Source organism: Homo sapiens (assembly GCF_000001405.40). NCBI lineage: Eukaryota > Metazoa > Chordata > Mammalia > Primates > Hominidae > Homo > Homo sapiens. The sequence continues at coordinate 48,612 of NT_187649.1, read as the reverse complement.
GCCTGCTGAGAGGATTCTGTGGAAGCTGATCAGGTTGCTGGGGCAAGTGGAGGCAGGGTAGAGGTGAAGGGCTGTGGGATGGAGAACCTCAGAAGACTCCATCTGGGGTCCGGGAAAGGACAGAGAGGGTATATGAGGGGTCGGGCCCTCCAGATCTAAGGGTGGGGTGGTGGCATGTTTCTTGAGTTGGTTCCTGGAAAGGGAGCTGAAATGGTTTAATCGCTCTTCCATGAAACGCAGGCGGTGGGGACAGCCACCAGACAGGTAAACACACTGTGCATTGATCCTTTTACGACTTTTGTGAAACTGATGGACAGGCAGGCAGGGAGGGGTCCTGGGAGAGAGTCTGGGGCACTCCATCTTGGGGTATCTCTTTCGCTCTCCTCCTTAGCGGGCGAAGCTTTGGCCTGTGCTGGGGTGGGGGAAGAAGAAGGTGATGTGGAGCATGAAGCAAGGTTGGGGTGGAGCAACTGAGGGTTTCCAGCATGGGTAACCGGGCTGATTAGGACTGGATCCAGCTGCCCCTAATGCTCCACTGCTGCCCAGCACTTAACCTCCACACTCTGTGCCCTCTGATGGTTGGGAGAAGTCTGTGTCCAGCCCTTCGGCCACCAGAAGAAAATCAAGAATGGAATTCCTGGTTTTGGAGACACAAAAAGTCAGAGAGACTTTATTTAAATAGAGTTAATTTGAAGTAAACCAGAGAGTTTTGTGTGCAGAAGCATTTTGCTTAACTTAGGGCCATCACCACATTATGAACTCGTGTGTGTGTGTGTGTGTGTGCACGCGCGCGTGCACAGGCTAGTGTCCTTCTGTGGGTGTGTCTGCGTGAGGACCCATCCATGCATGTTTGATCTTTATGGCCTCCCCCTGTGCACCTGCGCCTATGGATAAGGTATAGTCTTGTCTTGATTCCCAGTATTCATTCTCCTTGAAGAATCCTGACAGCCTTCAGTCACCTTCCCTTTTCCAGTCTCCCAAAAGCAATGGCGCCTTAAATGTGCGGTAAGGATGAGGTGAGTCTTGAGGTAGCCTAGGCCACAGCTGCCCCTTCAAGGCAAGGCCTCAGCTGAGTTCAGGAAATAGGAGAACCTGGCCCCGGAGCAACCCCAGAAGCGCAGGACCACGAACGTCCCGACCCCCAGCAGCAAGAGGCCGCCCAGGGCCCCAAAGAAGATGCCGAAGAACGCGTCGAGTTTCATGCTCAGGTGCTCACAGTGCTCGCCCCAGGCCGTGTAGATGGAGAAGGACACACAGCTGGTGACCAAGAGAGACAGACAGGCGGTCAGAGGCGGGAGCTCAGCCTCCCAGCCCCTCCTCTTCTGCTGGGGAAGAAGAGGTTCTGTAGGAGAGGCTGGGCTCGCCCCACTCTCCGGAGAGACTGAGTCAGCCCTGAGGCCGTGCTGAAGTGAGACCACTGGGCAAAGGAGGCAGGTGTGGGCTTTAAAAACATGGGCCTGGGCCGGCGCGGGGGCTCACGCCTGTAATCCCAGCACATTGAGAGGCTGAGGCGGGCGCATCACTTGAGGTCAGGGGTTCGAGACCAGACTGGCCAACACGGTGAAACCCCATCTCTACTAAAAATACAAAATTAGCCAGGCGTGGTGGTGCGCACCTGTAATCCCAGCTACTCAGGAGGCTGAGGCAGAATCGCTTGAACCTGGGAGGTGGAGGTTGCAGTGAGCCGAGATTGCAACACTGCACTCCAGCCTGGGGGACAGAGCAAGACTCCGTCTCAAAAAACAAAAACAAAAACCTGGTGTGAATTCAGCTGCACGTGCAGTCAGCTGCACCTGGGCGGCAGGGATGCCGGCCACAGGTGGGCATGCGCAGTCACACCCCCGCCCCAGCCCGGCCCCGCCCCGCCCCGCCCACCCGGAGAGCCGGGCCCCGCCCCACCCGCGCTCCGCCCGCCCCCTCCTTCGGCGGGATCTGGAACTGCAGCTGGCGGAGGGCCCGGAGCCCAGGTCTGCGTGGGGCCGCGGCTTCCTGCGCTGTTAACCAGCGGAGCCCCGGGGACTGCTGATGAGGGCAGGGGCAAAGGCGCCTCGCTTGACTGAGGGGCAGGACTGGCCTAGACACAGGACTGCAGGTTCTTTTCCCACAAGGAGACAGCAGGGAAGCAGCAGCCAGATCAGGTGGGAGGGTTTGACTTTGGGCCCTGGCGCGGTGGCTCACGCCTGTAATCTCAGCACTTTGGGAGGCCAAGGTGGACGGATCACCTGAGGTCAGGAGTTCGAGACCAGCCTGACCAACATGGCGAAACCCCGTCTCTACTAAAAATGCAAAAATCAGCTGGGCGTGGTGGTGCATGCCTGTAGTCCCAACTACTCGGGAGGCTGAGGCAGGAGAATCGCTTGAACGCGGGAGAAGGACGTTGCAGTGAGCCGAGAACGCACCACTGCACTCCAGCCTGGGCGACAAATGACACTCCATCTCAAAACATAAAAATATAAAAAATGTTTGGCTTTGGAAACCATGCCCTGCTGCTTAACCTACTGCGTCCTGGGGCAGGTTCCTTGTCATCTCTAAGCTGCAGTTTTCTCATCTTCGAAATAGTTCTAAGCCCCCCTATGGCTCTTTTGGGTTTCAGAGTTTGTAATATAGCGCCTTTATTCTCCACACAGAGCAGGCACTCACAACTCTCCTTTTCCACTGTCCTCTCTTCCCTGGTCTCTGATCTCTCGAGCCATCCTAATTCCTGGACCCCTTGCAGTGTCTTGCCCAGCTTGGGTTCCCCAGCACTGTCCTCCACCTCCTGGCCACAGCCCTATGCACCTGCAGCGGGGCCCACTGGGCAGGTGCTGGCACTGGCCTCCATGGTCACAGTAGCCCCTACTGCACGGGGACACGCAGGTGAAGCCGCTCTGGGGGCTGTAGACCAGGTCGTAGCCCTTGTAGCCATCGCATCTGAAGTAAGCCTTCAGCGTGCTCACGTTCACTGTCGGGAAGGACACAGATTAACACAGAAAGCAACCGATGAACACTAAATCAGTACCTTTTCAGCCACGAATTCCTTTTCGGGTGTTTATCCTGAGAAATAATTGGAGAAGTGCACAGATACATATGCCCCTGGACGTTCAGATCAGCATGGTGGATAATAGTAACGTTTCAGAAGTAGGGTCTGGTTAAATAAACTACTGCACATCCTTACCAAGGGATGGTGCTTCCTATGGAAAAAGTTTCCTAGGGAAAAAGGTTCCTAGGGAAAAAGGTTCCTGTGGAAAAAGGTTCCTATGGAAAATGCTTTCCTGAAGAGCACATGCTTTGAAGGTGGCCAGACTTGGGTGGAAACTGAAACTCTGCTAGTGACTAGATGTGTAATTCAGGGAACATTCCTTCACTCTTTCAGCTTCAGTTTCCTTATCTTTAAAAGGAAATGATCATAATAGCACTTATGCTGCTGTGAGATTTAAATGAGATAATGTGTCCACAGTACTCAGTACAGTGCCGGACACACAGTAAGCACTCAAACAATGGTAATGATTATTATAATGTATTTTAAAATATGACACTATATTCAAACATACCATCATAATATGTCAAATGGGAATGTGGACAGAATATATGAGACAACCTGTTCACAACTGTTTAATGAGGAGGTTTTCCAACATTAGGAATGATTTGATCCTTCAGTAAAAAATGGATGTCTGAAGGTTCCTAGGCATAAAAGAAAGTTCAGAAGGATATGTAGGAAATACTGTTGTCTCTCTGGGGATTGGGATTACAGGGTTTTTTTCCTCTTTTCTTTTTGTTAAGTTTGTGTTTCCTAAAGTTTCTGCAATAAACATACGATGCTTGTATAATAAAAATTATAGGTTTTCCTTAATTGCATAGTCAGGGCTTGCCTCCCTGCGCCTCCTACCCCAACTCCCCAACATACAGTAGTTCTGAGGGATTTCACCCCCTGCTCCGGGAGAGAGCGGGCTTAGCCTGGATTCTGGGAGAAGCTCTTGCTTGGTCCCAGACCCAAGTAAAACAGCAGTTCCTGTTGTGTTTGGGGCGGCCCCTGCCCTGTTCTCTGCCCTATACAGAAAATAGGACGTGTTATTCCTTTGTTTCTCTGACAAGCTTGCCAACTTATTCCTGTTCCAGGAAAACCGGGGGCTGTCAGCACTGAAAGGGGGCTCAGAAATCCCATCTCATTTTCAGATGGGGGTGCTGAGGCCTGGCCTGGGGAAGGTGCTTGGGGAGTGTTGAGGCCTGGCCTCGGGGAGGTGCTGGGGGGTGTTGAGGCCTGGCCTGGGGAAGGTGCTGGGGGGTGTTGAGGCCTGGCCTGGCCTGGGGAAGGTGCTGGGGGGTGTTGAGGCCTGGCCTGGCCTGGGGAAGGTGCTTGCACAGGGTGACACCATTTCAGGGAGTAGTTGCCTCTGTCCCTGGCCAGTCTCCAGTCTCCAGCTTCATATCCTCCCGCTGGAGAGCAGAGACGATGGGGGTGTCCCTGTGTATGCTTAAGTGCAATGGCATTTTAAGAAAACTATTAGCAATTTTATGAAACTAAATTGCTGCTGTTTTATTAGCAGCCACAGTCAGCAAGGCCCTGGCTGGGTGCTTGCTCCGTGAAGCTGTATACGTGTGACTGCCTCAGCAGTGCTGGCTGCTCCTGCTCTCGAATCTAAAAAGCAGCTGGACAAAATGTTCACGTTTTCGCTCAAAACCAAACAAACAGAAAAACTCAATTAGCTTGTTTGTGTGGGCTGAAGCACCTCTGTTTGCCCGCCCCCCGCAGTGACCCCCATAGTGTCCCCGGAATGGACGGACTCACGGGCTGTCACATCGCGCACGTCTTCCCCGGAGATGGGCTGGAAGACCACGTCGTTCCTGGGCTCCTCACTCCTCCGTGGAACGTGGTATAAGAACGCCTCCACCACCGCGGCCAGCAGCTGGTTGTTCAGGAAGTCAATGACCGGGCCCCGAGGGCGGTACTGGAACTCCGAGATGACCATCCAGTGTTGGATGGGGCTTCCCGAGGCCGGTGCTGCAGAATCGCTGTGTGGGAGGGCAACGGTGAGGGGGGGTGGGGGGCTGGGGGTGGGGGATGAGGAAGAGATCTGGGGGCTTAGGGGGACACAGTCCCACTTACATTCGTTCCACTTGGCTGTTGCGGAGAAAGGCCCGCATGTCCAGGGTCCCCAGTCTGTATGCCACCTAGGTTAGAGGATGGCAGATGGGGGTGGGGGTGAGGCCCCATCCGGGGGGGAGACGCCCTCCCACCTTGATGGGTGTATTCATCCCTGTTTCCTCCTGGAACGGGAGCCCCAGGACCCCAGCACCTTCCTCACCTGTCTCTGCACCCTTGCACTCTAGCCTAGCTCAGTGAGTGTCATGGGTCCTTGCTTAATAATGTTTGTTGAGAGTGAAGGGTTTTCCATTCTGTCCCCCCCTCAGCCTCATATGACGAGCAGAGAATCTGACATGAATGGCCCCTACCTTGCCTCTGACACATGACTCATGACCTCCTCCCCAGTATATTGAACATGGGTTGTTTAGACCTAGGAGATGGTCGGGGCTGGGGGTGTCAAGGTGACTTAGGTGGAGTCTAAACTCAAAGAGTGCATTGTCTGGCGCAGGTGACAAATGTCAACAGATTTTACCGTGTGGAGTGTGGAGTGGGGAGTGCTAGGCTTGCAGTAGTGATAATAGCAGTCATCATGTTTGAATACTTGTGTGTCAGGCACTGGACTAAATGCTTGACACGCGTTATCATTTAAACGGTGATACGGCCTGTTGACTCAGGTGCTATGATTGTCCCTGTGTTTACAGATGACCTGTTATATGATGTGTCTAGTTAGCACACCTGCTCTAGTGAGGGGCAGAGCAGGGATTCTGATTCTGGGTGTGCAGGATTCTACAGCCCCAACCACTCAGCAGTTGTGCCACTTTGCCTGTGACTGAGGTATGGCATGGCAGCCAAGAAGAGGGAGCCGCCCGTTCCCTCTGGGAAGTCAGGGAAGACTCCCGGGAGGTGAAATGTCCTTTAGTTTCTTTCAGATCATAACCAAGATGCTTAGAGGTCTCGGCTGGGGTGACTTGGCACCCTGGCCTCTGCTTATGATGAGTCGAGGTTTCTGTCTTGGGCCTTCCTCACTTCCTAATGCCCTGCACCTCCCATGGGGCAAGAGGCTCCGGCCTCCTCTGGCAGTTGAATCCAGATGGATGACAAGATGAAGGCCGCACAGCGATGGTTCCGCCCTGGCCTGAACCCGCCAAGCGCCCCCTCCCACCCAGAGCGCGGCCTGCAGCACTGACCGAGGCGTTGACTTCTGCCATGGAGGCATTTTCCTCTTCACTGAGCAAGAGCTGGATGACTCTTAAGGGAAGTTCTGGAGATGGGAGAAGCAAATGTATCATCACCCCACGGTTTACCCAGACTTACCCAAAAAGTCTGTCGGGCCAGCCCAAGTTGACTGCTCCATTCCAGTGACAGAAGGTCACTGAAGAAACCGGGAGAAGTGGCCCTCACCCTACATTCCACAGTGACAGAAGGTCGCTGAAGAAACCGGGAGAAGTGGCCCTCACCCTACATTCCACAGTGACAGAAGGTCGCTGAGCAAACCGGGAGAAGTGGCCCTCACCCTACATTCCACAGTGACAGAAGGTTGCTGAAGAAACCGGGAGAAGTGGCCCTCACGCTAGGGCTCACTCCACTATGCTCCGGGCCTCCCCAGCGCTCATCTCACTGAGCCAGCTGTGAGGTCTCTGCCTCCGTCCTTCCTCCATAGGCCACACAGGCCCGTGGTCCTTGCCGTGACAGCTTGCCTCGCCAGCTCCCATAGCCCGCACCTTACACCATCCCAGAGAAATCTGGAGCTCTGTCCTGTGACCCCAGAGCTTCCTCATCTTCCCCAAAGGTGGGCGGAGTGCGGGGGTGAGAGGGTGGGGCCCAGGAAGAGTGCGGGGGTGAGAGGGCGGGGTCTCTGGCGGTACCTAGGTTGACAGTTGGACTGAAGTTGTTCCCAGCCAGGAAGCAGCGGCTGTCAGTGAAGGCTGGGGGGCAGGTGCACATGGGCTGACAGCCCAGAGTCTGGGAGATGTAGCAGTGGCCTTGATTGTAGCAGTAATTCACAGGGCAGGACTGGTTCTGACACAGGAAAGAGCTCCCCAGAGCTGCAGAGTGAGTAGGGAGGTCAGCAGCAGCGCGCAGGGCAGCAGAGGGACGGCCCAGCCCGTGGAAACCCGCTCCGGGACAGGCTTGCTTTCCCCCAGTGTTCCACTTCGGGCCACTCGGAACCCCAAACCATCCTTCCCCCCTTTTCCAGGCGTTTCTCTGCAGGGCAACCCCTTTCCCCGGCCAGACAGGTATTCTTCCACTTTTGTGGAGGGACTGGAGTGTTTCTCAGACCCTCTGCTTCAGAAAGGACCCCGAAGGCTGGCAGAGGAGGGGCCCCCAGCTGGCTTTCCTCACGCCCTCCCCTCTCACGTCCATCTCCTTTTCTGCCTTTATAAAAGCTGCGGTTCTACCCACTCTGGCCTCGGCTCTGAAGGCACAGTGATCTGTAGATTTTATTTGGGTGCCTTAGGGGGCTTGGTAAAGGCCTCGCTGTGATCTCCCTCATCAGACTCTGGTGACTCAGAGCGGGAGGAACAGATGGCTGGGAGGACTCAAAGGGAAAATCAGGCACCTTTGCTGCCGGATCCCCACGCCAGCCCCTCCAAACGTCCTGACTCGTGAGATGCAGAGATCCTGAGCCTCGTGTCTCTGAAGATCCCCAGGGATCCCGAGGACCCAGCTTGCCCGGTTCTCTGGCGGCTGCTGAAGTCTCCTCCCCAAACCATCTTCAGTCTTTCGCCCGGGGCTCCCCCCATCAATGCCTCAGGGATGCCCAGCCCCGTCCCCTCCCCTATGCCTGTACAACCTCTTCTCCTTCAGCCCCACACCATCCACCACCCCCTTTCCAGGCCTGCCTAGATTTCCCATACCTGCCTAGATGATTTCCCACACCTGCCTAGATTTCCCACACCTGCCTAGATTGAGCATTCTAAAGATCTGCTGGAAAAAGGAGAGAAATGGTTTGCCTTTGGCTGTCTACACCCTTGAGCTATCAGCTGCTCCCAGAAGCGCCTGCTCCAGGCCCTGTTCCCGGCTCACCCGCACAGTGCCGCCCATCCCCAGTCAGGTTTGGAGGGCAGGCCTCGCAGCCCTTCCCAGGAACGCAGTGGACACTCGGGAAGCACGGCTCCTCACAGGCATCCTCGGAGCCCTCGCAGTAGCGGCCGAAGGTGCCCCCGTCACACTTGCAGCCAGCCACCTGGAGGAGGGTTGCCGATCACGGGCGGCCAGGAGACCAAACTGGGAAGGGCTTCTGGGTGTTTCTGACTGACCCCTTTGGCCTGAGAACCCGTGGACCCTGAGTCATGTCTCAGCCCCACCAGCACCTGCTGAGCACCTTCTTGACCAGGCCGTGGGGCGGCAAGGCCCTGCCTAAAGCCACACGGTAGTCCTGCCCAGCTGGCCTCCCTGGGTCATTGTTTACCCTGACCCCCTGCCTGGCCCTGCACCAGGATCTCAGCCTCTTCCCTCTCACACTCTAGCTCTTTGCCTGAAATCCTTTCTAGAGTAAGATGGGGGATGCATGAATGATTGAAGCATGAATGAATGAATGAATGTATCCATGTATAGATGTATGTATCCATGTATGTATGTATCCATGTATGTATGTGTGTATCCATGCATGTATGCATGTATGTATCCATGTGTGTATCCATGTGTGTATGTATCATGTATGTATCCATGTAGATATGTATCAATGTATGTATCCATGTATGTATCCATGTATGTATGTGTGTGTCATGCATGTATGCATGTATCCATGTATGTATCCATATGTGTGTATCCATGTGTGTATGTATCCATGTGTGTATGTATCCATGTATGTCCTATTGCTTGAAAACTGGATTCCTTATTTATTTTGAGACAGGGTCCCACTCGGTTGCCCAGGCTGGAGTGCAATGTCTTGATCTTGGCTCACTGCAAACTCCACCTCCCAGGTTCAAGCCATCCTCCCACCTCAGCCTCCCGAGGAGCTGGGGCTACAGGCATGCACCACCACGCCCACTAATTTTTGTATTTTTCTTCTGCTTTTTTTTTTAATGAGACAGTCTCGTTCTGTTTCCCACGCTGCAGTGCAGTGTCTCGATCTCGGCTCACTGCAATGTCCCCCTCCCAAGTTAAAGCAATTCTTGTGCCTCAGCCTCCCAAATACTTGAGATTACAGGCATATGCCACCACGCCCAGCTAATTTTTTGATTTTTAGTAGAGACAGGGTCTTGCCATATTGCCCAGGCTGGTCTCAAAGTCCTGAGCTCAAGCAATCCGCCTGCCTCAGGCTCCTATGTGGCCTGCAAACTGGATTTCATATAAGCTGAAATTGACCTCCCTTGCTGACTCCCAAACCAAGAAGACAGAGCCTCCCTGCTGAGCACTGTGAGAAAACACAGCAGCCAGTACAGCAGCTCAGCAAAGGCTGCGGCGCCGAGACCTCACCAAGCTCCCTGCGCTCCCCTTTCTAACTCCCTTACTGAAGCGACTCGGGGAATCTCCCTAAAATGGAATCCTCTAACACTTGCTACTCCCAAGAGTGGATATTTGGGGATCTGTGGAATAGTATATTGATTTCAATCTCTTTTTCCCATTGTGTATTTTATGCTTTTCTACCCCCTACCCCACCAACCGTCCCTACCTCTATCCCTTTCGAGTACCCATTCTCTGCTCATGCTTCAGAAGGATGTGTGTGTGTGTCTGTGTGTGCGTGTGCATGCGTGTGTGTGTAAGTGGTGAAGGAGGTAGTTTTGTGTTGCCAGATAAACACTTTCCTTTCTGGCTCTTCCTTTACAACCAAAAATAAAAATAAAAAAGCAGATAGGACAAGAGTCGTGGAATTAGGCCAAGTATCTTGGCTAGAAACATGGAGAAGTAGTTTCTCCAAACTGGAAAAGATGTTTCTTTTAGCTGGAAGGAGATAGTAAAAGAGAAAGCAAAGGGGCTTGGAGGTGTCAAGATAGAGGGACCCGCAGCTCTCTTCCCAGCACCGTGATGATGACATCCTAGGGAGAAATGACTGTGGGGTGCTTCTAGGCAGACAGGACTGTAAGCGGCCTCAGAAAAGGTGTCCTGTGTCTGAGCAAGGCACAGAAGCAGCAGAGCCTCTCCCTGGGTCTGAAGGGGAAGTGGGGCGGAGCTGTGATGGAAACCTGTGTGGACTCACGCCCAGGGACCCACAACCACCTTCCACCCCACACCGCAGGGCCCTCTGCTGGGCTTCGCCGCAGAGCTGTGGGGCGCTGTGAGAAAGACGGAGGTGGAAGTTTCCTGCCAACCTGGCAGAAGGGGAGGTGGGAGATAAAAATCCAGTTGAACTATAAGCAATAAAGTAAGGTTCTTTCCTCTTTCCTTCCTTCCTTCCTTTTTCTTTCTTTCGTCCTTCTTTTTCTCCAATATAGTTTCTTTCTTTCTTTCTTTTTCTCCTTTCCCTTTCTTTCCTTTCCTTTCTTTCCTTTCCTTTCTTTCCCTCCTTCTTTCTTTCTTTTCTTTTCTTTTCTTTTCTTTTCTTTCTTTTTGACATAGAGTCTCACTCTGTTGCCCAGGCTGGAGTACAATGGCGCAATCTTGGCTCACTGTAACCTCCACCTCCCGGGTGCAAGCGATTTTCCTGCCGCAGCCTCCCGAGTAGCTGGGACTACAGGCGCCTGCCACCACGCCCAGCTAATTTTTGTATTTTTAGTAGAGATGGGGTTTCACCATGTTGGTCAGGATGGTCTCGATCTCCTGACCTTGTGATCCGCTTGCCTCAGCCTCCAAAAGTGCTGAGATTAAAGGCGTGAGCCACTGCACCCGGCCAGAAAGTTCTCTTTCTTCCCATGTGAGTTTGTGGCCTGAGACTGGAATCTGCTCTACTCACCTACCACTGCTCCACCCATCTCCCAACACAGACACACCCAGGACAGGCAGAATCACAGCATCCATTCCACTCCCATTTCCTCTCCCCTCGGCACAGAAACTCCTCCCCCACCTCCCAACACTCACCTCCAGGGAGGAGTTGCCCACCCTGCTGGTCTGATTGTACAAACACTGGCTCTCTGCATTGCAATGGCAGACCACAGTCCTGGGCTGGAGTGCAGATGCCAAGCCAATCTTGGCACTTCTTGCTAGAATCTCCAGAGTGAATGGCTCCAGCGACTTGGGTGTCCACAGCAACGTCCCATTCTCTGCCCCGGGGAAGATGAGAATGTTGAGAGCTGGGAGACTCCTCGGCTCTGTGGTCTGATTGCTGATACGGGGCTTCCCCCACCCCTCTCAGGCCACCCTCCCCCTCCCCAGACAAATCTCATTGGTCATTTCCTTTGAGCAAGGCTGGTATCGGGGGTGATCCTGGTCACGCTCCCAGCTGGAAGGACGTGGCACCAGTCCAACATACTGATTGTAGCGGGGAACGCCACAGAGGGGAAAGCAGTTTCCTCCTGAAGAAACCCCAAAGGGCAGCCCTGGCTGGGCTCACACCAGGATGGGACATCCTGGGGGATGGAGGATCAAGGCCAGGATCCTCCAGACACCTCCCCAGGCTGCGCTGCCGGCCAAACTGGCTTCACTCTCACGGCAGCCCCATCCTTTGCCCTGATTTCTCACCCACCCCCCACTTCCTGGACCTTTCCCAGACACCCCCTTCAGACACCAGACTGTAGTGAAACACTACTACATATCTTCAGATCAAACTGATATTTTTCAAGAAAATAGGAAAGTCTCCTTAAAACAGCAGATTGAAAGGAAGTGACAGAGAATAGACGAACGTAATTTCCAGACCATCGTCCTTCAGGGGTGGGGCCCGTGGAGAAGAAAACCTCTCAGTGCCATTGTCTCGCACCTGGGAGGACGCACATGGGGCAAAAGGGATGCAGGCAAAGCAGTCCCTTCTGAGACACAGAGAGAAAGAACATCAGGCAGAGAGGCAAAGAGAACGCAAAATATGCCCCCCGGGGCTTTGGTTTAGCCAAGAACAGTCACCCTCAGAATTAGTGCTGGCAACAGACAGAAAGTGGCATCCCTTTGATGCCCTTGGACCCTTTGAATTAGTGCTGGCAACAGACGAAAGCAGCGTCCCTTGTGCTTGGAGCCTTTGGCCCTGATCATGGATGTAGGGCTCGGGGTCTCTAACACCTTTACGGAGAGGGAGCGATGGCACTCTACTGGGTCCTAGCCCAGGAAACCAGACAAGGAGAGACACGGCTAGGTAAACATGGTTGCCAGACAAAAAGAGCAAGAAAGGTACCAAACGAAAGTATTTTTCATATTTCTTTAAATCTTGTCCTACATTAGAGCCTTCCTTTAATAGATATAAAAATGTTGTAAATTGGTCATTTTAAATGTTGCACTTGATTATTCTAATAATTTGGTGAATGCATAATGACTAAAGATGACTATATATGATCAGATTGAGATTAAATGATCTTCAAATCTTTTTTTTGAGACAGAGTCTCGCTCTGTCACCAGGCTGGAGTGCAGTGACGCGATCTCAGCTCACTGCAACATCTGCCTCCTGGGTTCAAGCGATTCTCCTGCCTCAGTCTCCTGAGTAGCTGGGATTACAGGCATGCACCACCATGCCTGGCTTTTTTTTTTTTTTTTGTATTTTTAGTACAGACGGGGTTTCACCATGTTGGCCAGACTGGTCTCGAACTCCTGACCTCAGATGATCCGCCCACCTCGGCCTCCCAAAGCGCTGGGATGACAGGCATGAGCCACCGCGCCCAGCCTTGAATCAGTTCTATGTGCCCAGAGTCACTCTAGCTATCTGGCCAAACCGCCGTAAGCCCGTCACTACTACTTACTGGGGGGCACCTATTTGAGTTATAGATATCGCTCCTCGGAAATGCCGGTCCTGGATATTCAAATGAAAGAGTGACAGCAAGTGTTGCTGGGTGTAGCAATGCAGAATTTCCCAAATTTGACTCTGACCTCATCCCCTACCCACCTCCCCACTCTCCCCAGCCAGCCAAATAGTCCTACCAAAGAGCTCCAAGTCGGTGCAGCTGTCTCTGAGCGTGAAGTTGGCATCCTCAGCATTGCTGGTGTACTGAATCAGCGTGGTCTGCCCCTTGTAGGCTTCAATCACACGACCACCATTGATGGAGGGCGGGTACTGATCTGAAACACAAAGAGGGAATGGGGGTTCCGAGGCAGGACAGTCTCCTGCTTTATCAGCCTCCTCTCTTTCTCAACTCTAATATGTGTGAGGCATTCCCAGGACTGTGACCCACCTCTGGAAGAAGGAATTATTCTGTGTACCTGCTCTCGACTGACGCACAGCAGGCTGGGACTGTACTGCCCACCTAGCCAAATCTTTAGCCTCTTTCTCTCCCCCCACCTCCTCAAAAAGAGCTCCTTTCAGATTCTTTCCTGAACACAGTGCTATGCTGGGTATGACAAAAAGTGAATTAGAGAGCAGATTTGTTTGGACCATTACAAAGGGTTGTACCCTTAGACCAAAGGGTTGTACCTTTGGCAAAGGGCTGAAAACCTGAAGGGTGCTGGGTGTCTCATGTCTGTAATCCCAGCACTTTGGGAGGCCGAGGCCGGTGGATAACCTGAGGTCAGGAGTTCGCGACCAGCCTGACCAACATGGTGAAACCCTGTCTCTACTAAAAATACAAAATTAGTCAGGCATGGTGGCGGGTGCCTGTAATCTCAGCTATTCAGGAGGCTGAAACAGAAGAATCGCTTGAACCCGGGAAGCAGAGGTTGCGACGAGCCGAGATCACGTCACTGCACTCCAGCCTGGGCAACAAGAGCGAAACTCCGTCAACACACACACACACACGCACAAAACCTGGAGGGTCACATCTAAAGGGACATTGCATTTGTCCAGAAATAGAGAGGGAGTGAAACCTCTTCACGGGTCTGTTTCTCGGAGCCCTGCCATTTCCATTTCATAGTTGCTTCACACATTCATTCAGTCAGTCATTTAACAAACATTTATTGAGCTAAGTGGCTGGCACTGTTCTGGGTGGTGAGGATACAGTCATGAATGAATAATTAAAAAGATACCTGTGAAAATTATAAAATATGTTGAGTAATTATAAATGCTAAGGAGAAAAAAATAAAGCAGGGAAGGCAAACATGAAGTGTGGGTGAATGTGACATTTTAGACAGGGCGGCCAAGAGAGGCCTCACCAAGGAGGGGACATTGGAATGAAGACGTAAAGAAGGTGAGGGGCAAGCGTGTGGCTGTCCAGGGAAGGAAGGGTATTCCAGGCAAGAGAACAGCACGTGTGAAGCCTGGGAGCTGAGCGCACCTAGCGTGTTTGAAGAACACAGAGGAGCCTGCGGGGCTGGAGTGCAGGGAGCTGGGAAGGGGTCCAGCGCTAGGATGGAGTGGAGGGGGCTGGGAAGGCATCCAGCGCTAGGATGGATGGAGGGGGCTGGGAAGGGGTCCAGCGCTAGGATGGAGTGGAGGGGGCTGGGAAGGCGTCCAGCGCTAGTATGGAGTGAAGGGGGCTGGGAAGGCATCCAGCGCTAGGATGGACGGAGGGGGCTGGGAAGGCGTCCAGCACTAGGAGAAGAGCTCTGAGAAGCTGAACTGGGCCGAAGGCCACTGCAAGGATGGAGAGAGCCAGGGAAGTCTCTGAAGGGTTTGAGCAGAGGAATGCCAGGAGTGGAAGAATCTGCTCAGTGAATGCAGATGCACAGGGAAAAGCAGGGTCAGGCAAGGGCAGCTCCTCATCTGCTCCCGACTCTGAAAAGGCCTCCCCAGGCCTCGGGCCACTTACTGAGGGTGGCGTTCGCCTGCTCGTAGTTTTTACTGACTTCCCTCGTGTGAAGTCCGATGCTTGCGTTGCGCAGGGCCAGGGTGTCATAGATGCATGAGCTATCTCCGTCACAGTTGGAGATCAAATGTTCAGCCCAGGAGCTGTTTTTTTGCAGTTGTGAGTAGAAAACAGGGGTGAAGTTGGAAGGCAGCTGGTCATTCCTCTTGCCAAGGAGGCCTGTCCCGTTGATCTGCCCTGTAACACACAGAGCGCGGTGGTACCAGGCATGGCACTCAGCCTTATTCCATCTGTGTCCACCTCTACCCCTCACTTTAGATGGCTTGGAGCGGGGCGGTGGGAGTGCAGGGCCAGAGCGGTTTCCAGCTTCTGAGTCTAGAAACACCTGCTGCAGTGAGAGAGGACACTCCACGTCCCCCATTCTCTCCTCCAGGTAGAGAGAGGCAGGTGGGCTGGTGGTGGTGGGGACAGCCCTGGGGGGGCACAGATTCCTCAGACCTTAGGGAGGATGGAGGTCTGCTTCCTACAGGGCCGAGGGGGACGACATAAACATACCGGCTCCCCTCACCTGCCCCTCTGCCCCAGGACCCTGCCCAGACTCACAGGTCATTCCAAAGTGGAAAAGCATCTCCTCAGGGCTCCCTGGGGGAATGGTGGAGCCATTGGGCATCCTGAAGTCGTCCTCTGGATTGTTATTCCAGACCCCTGAGGGACAGAGTGGGAGGTTGGCCACCCTGGGCACGCGGCTGTCCCCTTCCTGGGGAGCATCCGGCGGACGCAGTGGGGAGAGGCCAGGGCCTGGCAGCCTCTGCTCTTGCACCTGCTGTCAGGCCTCCAGGGGAGCCGGGAGGACGGGCCCTCACACCCTGCCCGTCTGCCTTCGGGAGGGGCGGGAGGAAACGCGGGCAGCGGTGGAGGAGGGCGGGAGGATGTGGGAGGCAAGAGGAAAGGGAGAAAGGATGGCTGTGCCCCCCGCCTCCCCGCAGCCCCCCCTGATGCTCCCTTAGAGCGGGCGGAGGACAGGAAGGGAGCCTCGGGGGAGGCTGGAGAAGCCCCTCGGCTCCCGGCCCGCTCTGTGCCCCAAGGGTTCTGCTCCAAGGAGGCGGAGAAAGGGAGGCCGAGCAGGGCTGCCCGGGCCGCCGGCGTGGGGGTCCGAGCTCCGGCTGGCTCCGCGGAGCCTCAGAGGCAGGTCCGAGCCGCCCTCACCCAGGAGCCCCTCCGTGCGGTTCTGGTACTCGGGCGGGAGGCTGGCGGAGGCGTGGAGGATGTTGGAGAGCGCGATCACCGAGACGGTGGCCCAGCCGTCGAAGCTGGCCGAGACCTCAGAGCCGTTGCGGCTCAGGAGGACTCCGGTGGCGTTGAACGTCTCCTGGCCTGGAGCATCGGGAGGCAGCGGAGAGGAAGCCAGGTCGGCACCACGGCCCGCACCAAACCCGCGCCCTGCCGGGCCCGCACCACCCCCACCCCGCCCCTGGGGCTGAAGCCGGGAGGGGTCTGCACTGGAGGCGGAGAAGAGGCCGGCGAGCTGCACGCCCCGCTCGGGGGTAGAGGCTGCGCTCTCTTGGCCCTGCACCGCCACGCACCGGGCCCTGCACCGCCACGCACCGGGCCCGGCACCACAACGCACTCGGCCCTGCACCGCCACGCACCGGGCCCTGCACCGCAACGCACCCGGCCCTGCACCGCAACGCACCGGGCCCTGCACCGCCACGCACCCGGCCCTGCACCGCCACGCACCCGGCCCTGCACCGCCACGCACCGGGCCCTGCACCGCCACGCACCGGGCCCTGCACCACAACGCACCCGGCCCTGCACCGCAAAGCACTCGGCGCGGCACCGCCACGCGCCCGGCCCTGCACCACAACGCACCCGGCCCTGCACCGCCACGCGCCCGGCCCTGCACCGCAACGCGGCTTCCCGCCCACCTCGCTGCTCCCGGTGCGGGGAGGGGGCGGCCGGCGCTCCCCAACCTACCTCCGCCGTCTTCATGGTCAGGCTGAAATGTCACAGTCTGGTTATCCAGCAGGACACGGATTGCGTCGTGAGGCTCAAGGAGCCATTGGACCTGGAAGGAGATGGGAGGGGGCCTGAGCCCGACCCGCAGGTGGAGCCGACGCCCAGGAAAGCAGCTGGGAGAGCCCCTGGGGCTGGAAGCTGCGCCCTGGGCCGGGAGGAAGGCGCTGGAGGCCGCGGCCTGAGGTGATGCCAGCCGCCGTCTACCGTGTGCTCGGCAGGGCCAGGCATGGTTTTCGGATTATGCCCTTTAGCTCTTACAACAGCCCGTGAGGCAGGTAATGTCATCCCCATTCTTACTAGGAGAAAACCAAATTAAGTAGTTTCTTCGAAGCCAAGCAGCTGGGAAACCGTGGGGCCAGAGCCCTAATCCACCATCCCCAGGATTTACTCCGGGACAGCTGCGTGGATGGGCTGTGTCCTCCCTCCCTCCTGCCCGGCTTCCCCTCCTTCGCTCTCTTCCTTCTCCTCGGCCTCAGTATGTGGCTGAAGGTCCCTGTGGGTGGAATGCAGGGAGGTTCCCGGCACCCCTCACTCACCGTGACGGGGCCCAGGCTGCTGGAGCGGTACTGAGCCGCAAAGGCGATGAAGTTGGTGGCCTGGGCTGAGCCAGTCTGGGCGGTGCGGCCCTGAAGCAGGAAGGAGGAGTTCCCGTCTTGGGCCCCGACCAGCAGGAAGTCCCCCAGCCCATTGAAGGTGTAACTGACACCATCCAAGGTGGTGATGTGGGGGTCCCCGAACATCCAGGCTGGAAGGAAAAAAGAGATGCTGCCTCAGCATGACAAATCATGTGTAGGGCTGAGGTTCCTCACTGCAGTCAGGTGCGGCACTTGTCCAGGAGGACTCAGGGTGAGGTTCCTCACTGCAGTCGACTGGGGCACTTGTCCGGGCGGACTCAGCTGGGGAGATGTTCACAGAGCACAGAATCCTCCCCTCAAGCCTCCTTGCATTTTCGTGCCCCGCTATTCTCACTCCTTCCCCAACTCAGGTACAAAGCCCCTCCACTGACCATCCACCCATCACTGGCGTCATCTCCATCTTCCCTTGTGGCCACAGCTCTGCCCCTACTCCTTATCCAGATGCCACCTCCCGGAAGCCCAGAAGCTCCCCCTCCCCAGAGGCTCTTCCTGGGCCTGGGCCCTGTCGCTCACCGGGCTGTGGGGGCCTGTATGTAGCACAGCCCACGTGGGGCCGCCTCTGCTGGTACAGGGCACAGAGGTAGGGCTTGTCATTCCAGCGGCAGCACCAGCTCTGTGGCTCCAGTTCCTGGGCTGCGGAGAACAGCAGTGAGTCGGGGAGGTTGAGGACCTGGAGAAGCTTGGCAGGGCAGGGTGGTGTTGGTTGAGAGCTTGGCAGGGCAGGGCGGTGTTGGTGGAGAGCTTGGCAGGGCAGGGCGGTGTTGGTGGAGAGCTTGGCAGGGCAGGGCGGTGTTGGTGGAGAGCTTGGTAGGGCAGGGCGGTGTTGGTGGCAAGAGCATGGCTTTGGAATCCAGCATGGCCCTTCTCATGACCTTGGGCAGTGAATAGGGTGCTGTCTCTTTTGCAGGCATTGGGGCCACTGTGCAGCAGGGCGCATGGTAGGAGCTAAGCAAATTTCCTGTCTTGAGGGTGGAGAGCCAAGTACTGCTGCTCTCAACGTGCTGGGAGTGGGGAGGGCACGGCTGACGGTCTGGGAACTGTGGAAACTGCCATGGGACGGGGGAGAGAACGGGAGGACACAGACCACGTGACCCCACACCCCTGCGCTCTCCAGCTCCCTTGGAGCGTCTCTGTGGGAGCTGACTCTCAGTCTTCCCCCAAACATCCTGCTCATCTGGGTCTACAGGGACGGGGTCAGCCTAGGCGCTCTCTTCTTGCCTGGAGAAATGGCCCCACTCTGGCCTGGGGATGTGGAGCCAGGTATAGAGATGAGGAAAGAGGCTCTCAGCTCATACATCCCCGAATGTCCGCTGGTGGGGATGTTGGAAGCTTCCTAACGTTACCCGATCAGGAAGTGGAGGCCCAGAGAGGGGAAGGGTCTGGGAAGGAATGAGGACGAGAGGCTTCATGCTGAGGGTCCCCTACTTGGCCGGGAAGGTGGGGTTGAGATCACGGACTCACGCACCCAACTGCCAAGGACGCTGCACGTGCCAGCCTTCACGAAACTCTCCCCAGGGCCCGTAGCTGCAGCACACGCCTCCTCGCCAAGAGGTGAAGCTGCACAGCTGCCTACTGCCGAGGCCCCAGCGACCTGAAACAAGTCCAGTCCCACTCAGGCCCAGGCTGGGGCTGCCAGGGGCGGGGTGGGAACAAGCAGGGGCTGTTTCTGGGGAGAGGCTGAGGGCGTGAGCAGAGAGGGTGGTGGGTGGGCTTGTGGGGGGCGGGAAGGAGGTGTCACCTATGCTGACGGGTTGGAATCGTAAGTCCCGTCGTCCCTGCTGCCAGGAACAAGGGCAGGAGACCTGGTTCCAGCCCCAGCTGGGCCACCGAGGCTGGCTCTTCAGCCACTGCAGGCACTCGAGACGGTAGTTGGGCCTTTCTTCCCGGTGTAGCCTGTAGAACTGCAGCCCTTGGAGGCCTGAGGTCGGGGATGGGGGGGAAAGGGCTTATCCAGGGCTGGGGCTGCAGGCCCTGTCTCAGCTTTAGGGTCAACCAAAACTCACAAATGCACCCCCTCCTGCCACTTCTCACCTCTTTGGACCCAAGTCAGATGGGCAACAATTCCTCCCCCAAAGCCCCTCGCTTGACTTAGCGTCTGCTTCTGACGACCAAACGTGGTTGCCACAGAACAAATAGAACTGGATTTACACTTCACAGTTCACGTGGCTGGTTTCTAAGGCTAAAATGTCCTTCAACCTATCACATTTTGGAAACTATTATTTCTTTCCCATTGGGGCCTCTGGACTGAGTCATGGAGAAGGCGCCATTGTTTGCCTCTTGACGCTTGTCTTTCTACCCGCATGAAAGCTCTTTGAGAGAAAACACAGTTGGTCTTTTTCCTTTGTTTCTGGCTGTTAGCACGGTGTCCAGCACACGGCAGGTGCCCAGTAAATGATGACAATGAACGTGAGACCCCCGGGCCTCTTCTTGGTGGATTCTCTCTTTTTGAGATGGAGTCTCACTCTGTCACCCAGGCTGGAGTGCAGTGGCGCGATCTCGGCTCGCTGCAACCTCCACCTCCCAGGTTCAAACAATTCTCCTGCCTCAACCTATTGAGTAGCTGGAATTACAGGTGTGCACCACAACGTCTGGCTAATTTTTGTATTTTTAGTAGAGACAGAATTTCACCATGTTGGCCAGGCTGGTCTCGAACTCCTGATCTCAAGTGATCCGCCCACCTCAGCCTCCCAAAATGCTGGGATTACAGGTGTGAGCCATGGCGCCCAGCCGGTAGATTTTCTTAAAGGATCTCACCTGGGTTCTCATTCCTGCTCTGGACAGGACACTTGGAGTATTGTCTGAACTGCCCATTCAAATCCCACCTCCCACAAGACCCTGTCCTCACTTCCAGGATCTGGGCCCCCCGAGAGCCCTCTTGGGCTGGTTCATCTGAGGGAGGAGATGTAGCCCCCTCTGAGACTGTGCTGTGTCCAGGGGTGCAGGAGGTGCCAGCTGCTCCCTGGGTGGTGCCACATCCCACCTAGACCTGTAGGAGGTTGAACTGTGTGGGGGAGGCCCTTCAGGATGGCCGTGATGTTAGGGAGGTGCCCTCTAGGACTGCGATGGTGTATGGGCTGGAGGACACGCGAGGGCTTGAGACCAGCTCAGGTGTGATAAGGTGGCACTTTTACCTGAGTTGGAATTCAGGAATCTATCAGGGCGATACCTCTCCCACACTGGCTGGGACATCAGTGGGCTGTTTTCGAAATAGCCATCTCCACTGCAGGAAAGGAGAGACTCTCAGGCCTCTGCCGTGCACAGGCTCTTGCCTCGCGGTTGCAAGGCGTCCATTCATCCCGCTAGCCGGTCAGCAGCTGGTCAACCAGCTAGGCGGGCAGTGGGTCAGTGGGTCAGCCAGCCCCCATCGTCAAGCCCCAGCACTGAGCAGGAGAGGGGACAAGATGGCTGGGCAGAGGTAGGAGGCTCTAACCGATTCCACATCTGATCGCTAGCTGCAAGAAACTGGCAGGTCCGCTTGGTCATGAGACAGGGGCGTGAAAACAACAGAGTTCAGGCCTCATTTCTGTTTGTTTCCCTTCAACAAGCAGAGGGTTTGGAGCGGGACAGACTCTAGGGACAGTGTATTGTGATGGTTAAGACCCAGTTTCTGGAGTTAGGCAGTGATGGATTCAACTGCTGATCCCCCCACTTACTAGCTTGGTGACCACAGACAAGTTACTGACCCTCTCTGATTCTTAGTTTTCACATCTGTATAAAAGGGATTACAGTGGCATCTACCTCACTGTATTGTGAGGATTAAATGCAGTAACATCTGCAAATCCCTCAGAACTGAGTGAGGCCTTGATACAACAGATGCTGCCACTGCTGCTACCACCACCACCACCATCGCCAGCACTACCACCACCACCACCATCATCGTCACCACCAACACTACCATCACCATCACCATCACCACCACCACCACCAACACTACCACCACCATCACCATCACCACCACCATCACCATCACCACCACCATCACCATCACCACCACCATCGCCACCACCATCATCACCATCACCATTACCATTGCCACCACCATCACCACCACCATCACCACCACCACCATCATCACCATTGCCACCACCATCACCACCATCACCACCACCATCGCCACCACCACCACCACCACCATCACCATCACCACCATCACTGGCCACCCCCCAAAAAATACCACCATCGGCCACCACCACCATCACCACCACCATCACCATCGCCACCACCACCATCACCACCACCACCACCATCACCACCATCATTGCCACCACCATCATCACCACCATCACCACCACCACCACCATCACCACCACCACCATCGCCACCATCACCCCCAACACCACCACCATCACCACCATCACCACCACCATCACCACCATCACCATCGCCACTGCCACCTCCACCGCCACTACCACCACCACCACCACCACCACCACCACTATCGCCATCACCGTCCCCAGGTGTGGGGTCCGAGCATGGCCCGGGAAGGAGGAAAGCCTGGAGCAGCCGCCTGCAGCCCCACCCTGGGTGCCTGCTGCAGAGTGGGGACTCTTGGGCTTTTCCTCCTCCCTGACACAAGCAGGATGATGCACCCCTGCGTGACACCTTCCTTGGGTGTACCTGGACCGTGTGAAATTCCTAGAGTTGGGTAATTCCCCTCCTTTCTCCTTCATAGCACACCAAGAAACTAGTGAAAGCAGTGTAATCAAAGGGGTAACCTGAACACACTCAATGTAAGAGAAGACATTTGCAGCAATTATCAAGAACAAAAGACATGTGGCCTTCGTACTGATTGCCACACCCCAGCATATGGGAACAGAGATGGCGCACTGCTACATCGGAGACAGCCTCCCACACACGGGAATCCACATTTCAACCGCCCACAGCCCCGTGCCTCCTCTCTCCCTTCACCACCGGCTCCATATAAGCTTTTGGGTGCCCCCTGGATAAGTGGGTAATTCTCAGGAAGTCAGGAAGGCAGATTCTAGCCTCAGATGTCTGGGTTCAAATCTCCATGTTGCCACTTCCCAGCTCTGGGACTTTAGGCAAATTGCTAGTCTATTTGTATCTCAGTTTCCTGATCTGTAGAATGGGGATGATAAATAGTATCTGCCTCGTGGGGTGGCTGTGATCATGACATGCAGTAATGTACACGAAGTGTTAGTGTCATCAGTCTTGGCTGTTATTATCACGATATTTGAGAAGGTAAGAGAGGCCAGCTAATGTCAGTGGAAATCAGGGAAGCCAAAGCTCTGGGAATGATTACAACTCACGGGGACTGGGATGGGAAAGGGCATGGCGGACAAATGGGTGATCTTGTCGTGGGAAGCAGCCAGATGCCTGGCCCCAGCGGGAGCTGGAGTCAGCGTGAGTCAGAAGCACCAGCCAGGAGGGTTCCCGCCTTGCCCCAGGATGGGAGTGTGTGTGCAGCGAAAGCCGACTCTACACCCCTCCCTGCCAACTGCTCAGTGCTGACAGCCCCTCCCATCCTACCTAGAGAAGCCCATGAGCACCGGGTTGCCTGAGCGCTGGGCCACGTCCCACTGCATCCCACCGCTCTGGTAGAGAAACAGGGCATAGGACCTGCTCCCGTCCGTGGAGAGGATGGCTTGGTAGGTGTTGCTCTGGGGGTGGGTGGAAGAAAACACAGGGATGCCCGTGAGAGATCCGGGGTCTCCTCTCTTATGTCCCCCCGCCCGTCCCACAGCCCTGCTCTGACACGCACAGCACCTGTTCCTGGTCTGCCCACAGCAAAGACATGGGCCCAAAATGCTGGCAAGTTTTGGGTCAGTGAGGGCAGCTTTCACCCTGGGTGCGAACGCACTTACCACGGTGGATTTGCCTTTTGGTGACTTTCTTCCAGGAGGGGAGATAAAGGGTTCTGGGTTACAATTCAGTTAGATGAGTGTTTGTTAGAGAAAGCTACCAGAACCTGAGATCAGCCAAGATACCAGAGAGCTAGAGAGGAGGCTTCATTAGCTCCCGCGCGGATATTTAAGGACATTGCCCAAATTGTCTCCTCCATCTAAACAGCATGGATGACACTGGGGTTCACTGAAGGCGCACACGTTGTCCACAGTAGGTGACCAGTGAACTTTTGTCGAGTGAATGAAGAAATGAGTGACTTTAGACCAGGCATAAGGAAGAACTTGGTGACTACAAGAGCGGGGTCCTCGGAGGGAGGACAGAGGAGATGGTGTGGCGCACCCTGTGCCCGTTGGATGAGCCTGTGCTTCAGAGCCAGAGGCTGGAGTCAGAAGAAGCTCCACTCAGGCCTGGCTTTGCCATTTGCCAGTGGCGTGACTCTGAACGAGTTACTTAACCTCTCTAACCATTGTCTTCCTCATCTGTAAAATGGGGAGCATAATACCAGACTGAGCCACGTGAAATTGTGAATAGCCAGACATTTTTGACTTACAAAAATGCCACTTGCTATGTTTCAGCCTAATAATACCCGGTTTGCTGGGCTGCTGTGAGGTCAAGTAGGCAAAGGGCCGAGACAGGCCGGGCCCACGGTGAGTGCTCAGCCAACAGTGGTGGCAGTGGGGGGGTGGCGGTGGGGGGGCTTGCTATAATTAGCAATCTTTCCTAGAGCCAGAGAGGATTTTGGAAGAGTGGCCCCTGCCTAGGATTCTAGGATGTCTGACTCCCAGATAGCTCCTGGGAGCTGCCCAGGGGTCTACTCACCCCGAGGGTCCACTGGGCAGGATAGGCGTGGGCATTGACCCACGTGACCTTTAGGGCCCACCTGGCCTTGTAGCCCCCGTTGTTTGTCATCTTTCTAATCCAAGACTCGGCCTGCTGGACTAGCAGGCTGTGTTCACCATAGAACGTCTCGTATTCCTAGGAAAGGAGGGCAGATGAAAACAAGCCAACGAGGGTCCCACTCCTACACATGGGCCCCCCACTTTCTGCCTGAGGACCCTGCCCACTTCAGCCCACCCAATGGCCTGCCCTCCCCTGTCCCAGGCCTGCATTTTTGCCGTGAGCTTTTCTGAGGTGAAGTTCAATTCAAACTTGGGCTGCAGGAAGGCCTGCAGTGTGCAGAATGCAGGGTCGTGGCCCAGACGTCCAAGACCTCTGGACTTGAACTCAAGCATCTTAGCTCAAACTGGCCCAGAGAGCAGAGCCACTCGGGCCCACTTTTACCTCCCCATGCCTAATCTGCAGCTTCTTGAGAACAGGCGTGAGTCTCTTCCTCTTGGAGCCTCCACACTGCCCTGTCCGTGGCAGGGGCACGGTCCACACTTCCTGCAGTAGCTTTCATCACATTTCCTCTGATTGGAGTTATTCACCCAGTCCAGGAGCACAGGACGGGCCCTCTTGACTCACTCTTGTTAGGATAGACCCCCTACAGCCTGATTTTACAATCAAAGGCTGAATTGTCAGCCCCCATCCCCCGTCACCTGTAGGTCTTCTCGTGGCCGGGTTGGGGTATTCCTGGTCAGTCTCGCGGCCGGGTTGGGGTATTCCTGGTCAGTCTCGTGGTTGGGTTGGGGTATTCCTGGTCAGTCTCGTGGTTGGGTTGGGGTATTCCTGGTCAGTCTCGTGGCCGGGTTGGGGTATTCCTGGTCAGTCTCGTGGCCGGGTTGGGGTATTCCTGGTCAGTCTCGCGGCCGGGTTGGGGTATTCCTGGTCAGTCTCGTGGTTGGGTTGGGGTATTCCTGGTCAGTCTCGTGGTTGGGTTGGTGTATTCCTGGTCAGTCTCGTGGTTGGGTTGGGGTATTCCTGGTCAGTCTCGTGGTTGGGTTGGGGTATTCCTGGTCAGTCTCGTGGTTGGGTTGGGGTATTCCTGGTCAGTCTCGTGGTTGGGTTGGGGTATTCCTGGTCAGTCTCGTGGTTGGGTTGGGGTATTCCTGGTCAGTCTCGCGGCCGGGTTGGGGTATTCCTGGTCAGTCTCGTGGTTGGGTTGGGGTATTCCTGGTCAGTCTCGTGGTTGGGTTGGGGTACTCCTGAGTCAGCTTAATGTCCCTTGACTGCTTCCTCCCACACCCATATTTAAGCCTCAGTCCCCTGCTGCAGGGGCTGTCACAGCAGCAACTCTGGCAAAGCCTTCCACACAGCTCTTTGTCTCCCCTGCCAGCTGCTGGGGGATCCTGACTGCCAGGCTTTGAAAGGCTCACCTGATAAAATGTGGTCCCCCGACCAGTGGAGAAGTCAGCATCGTCCCAGAACGGAGCCACCAGGGCCACAGGGTCCCGGCCTGTGAAGCCTGTTGGGAGTGGGTTGGGGTAGGAGAAAATCTGGTAGTCTGACTCTGGGAAGATGATCTGGCCATTGTCTGTGAACTGAGCACATGGGTTTTGTGGTCAGCATTCAGGGAGGGAAGTGGGGAGGAAAGTCCCAGCCTTGGTCCAGCTCCTCAAAAGCGTGACCCCCAAGGGTAGAGCTTTAGAGATGCTAACAACCCCTGGAAGTCACCTCCTGTGTCCTGTTTTGGGGAGAGCCCTTTCCATATATTCTCACAGAATGCTCCGCCCTCAGGCCATCCCTTGCGTCCTCGGGTGGTAGGCTTGGTCCTGTTTCACTGCAGATCCCTGGCTGTGGACCAGCCCCTCACAGGCACACCCCTCTTGGCCAGTCCCCTGGGCCCCATCCTGAAGTTTGCGACACATTAGGTGGGGCTCAGGGAGTGGAACCCTCTCTCCATCGCTCAGGGGGTGGAGCCCTCCCTCCATCGCTCAGTGGGTGGAGCCCTCCCTCCGTCGCTCAGGGGTGTAGACACCCTCTCTCCATCGCTCAGGGGTGCAGACACCCCATCTCCATCACTTAGGGGGTGGAACCCTCTATCTATTGCTCAGCAGGTGTAGACACCCTCTCTCCATCGCTCAGGGGTGTAGACACCCTCCCTTCATCGCTCAGGGGTGTAGACACCCTCCCTTCATCGCTCAGGGGTGTAGACACCCTCCCTCCATCGCTCAGGGGTGTAGACACCCTCTCTCCATCGCTCAGGGGTGTAGACACCCTCCCTTCATCGCTCAGGGGTGTAGACACCCTCCCTTCATCGCTCAGGGGTGTAGACACCCTCTCTCCACCGCTCAGGGGTGTAGACACCCTCTCTCCATCGCTCAGGGGTGCAGACACCCCATCTCCATCACTTAGGGGGTGGAAACCTCTCTCTATCACTCAGCAGGTGTGGACACCCTCTCTCCATCCCTCAGGGGTGTAGACACCCTCCCTTCATCGCTCAGGGGTGTAGACATCCTCTCTCCATCGCTCAGGGGTGTAGACACCCCCTCTCCATCGCTCAGGGGTGTAGACACCCCCTCTCCATCGCTCAGGGGTGTAGACACCCTCTCTCCATCGCTCAGGGGTATAGACACCCTCCCTTCATCGCTCAGGGGTGCTCAGGGCTATAGACACCCTCCCTTCATCGCTCAGGGGTGTAGACACCCTCTCTCCATCGCTCAGGGGTGTAGATACCCTCTCTCCATCGCTCAGGGGTGTAGACACCCTCTCTCCATCGCTCAGGGGTGTGGACACCCTCTCTCCATCGCTCAGGGGTGTAGACACCCTCCCTTCATCGCTCAGGGGTGTGGACACCCTCTCTATCGTTCGGGGTGTAGACATCCTCTCTCCATCGCTCAGGGGTGTAGACACCCCCTCTCCATCGCTCAGGGGTGTAGACACCCTCTCTCCATCGCTCAGGGGTGCAGACACCCCATCTCCATCACTTAGGGGGTGGAAACCTCTCTCTATCACTCAGCAGGTGTAGATACCCTCTCTCCATCGCTCAGGGGTGCAGACACCCCATCTCCATCACTTAGGGGGTGGAAACCTCTCTCTATCGCTCAGCAGGTGTAGGCACCCCCCTCCATCGCTCAGGGGTGTAGACACCCTCTCTCCATCACTCAGGGGTGCAGACACCCCATCTCCATCACTTAGGGGGTGGAAACCTCTCTCTCACTCAGCAGGTGTGGACACCCTCTCTCCATCGCTCAGCAGGTGTGGACACCCTCTCTCTATCACTCAGCAGGTGTGGACACCCTCTCTCCATCGCTCAGCAGGTGTGGACACCCTCTCTCTATCGCTCAGCAGGTGTGGACACCCTCTCGCCATCGCTCAGCAGGTGTGGACACCCTCTCTCTATCGCTCAGCAGGTGTGGACACCCTCTCGCCATCGCTCAGCAGGTGTGGACACCCTCTCGCCATCGCTCAGCAGGTGTGGACACCCTCTCGCCATCGCTCAGCAGGTGTGGACACCCTCTCTCTATCGCTCAGCAGGTGTGGACACCCTCTCCATCGCTCAGTCGCCCTCTCATGCTGTGTTCGGACTCAGCCTCCTCCCTCAGGGCCACAGGAGCCAGGACTGTCCCTCCAACTCTGCTCCAGGAGGCAGGGACCAGGGGGCCAGAGACAAATCCCAGAAGGTGGAAACGGCAGGAACAGTCCAGTTTCCCAAGTGTAGCTTTTTACTCCTGAGAAGGCCCCGCAGAAGCAGCGGTGGGCCCAGCAGGTGGGCAGCCCTCGCCTGGCACCCTGTGTTCCTCAGGCAGAGGCCTGACATTAAGGAGGCTGTGGGGATGGACGAGGGGCCCAGCCAAGGCTGCTTCCATTCCCGCTTCCTCTGGGTTCCGTCTCGAAGCAGGAGAGAGAAGTGGGCCCTGGGAGTTCAGGCTGCGCGGGCCGCAGCCCGGACTCACGTAGAGGGAATCACGGAGAGAGGAGCCAAGGGGGAAGCCAGTCGCCGGCTTGAAGAGTGGGGAGGTGAAGTCCACGGTCCTCCTGACGAACTCCAGGTCCCCGGCGCCTGCCCCATAGGGGAAGAGGGAAACTCCTGGGCCAGGACAGAGAAGAGCAGGAAGTCCAAGTGGGCCTGGGCCTTCTTTAGGGCTGAAAGGGATCCCAGAGCGCTCCCTGCAGGCTGCCCACACCTGTCCTGTGTTCCCCGAGGGCCCCAGAGGCAGCCATCTAGGGTGCTTCTCGCTCCCTCTCCACCCACATTAAATGCATGTGGTCATTTTACTCCCTAAACTGCGCCTCTCATCCTTCCCCAGCTTGGAGAAAAACAGGTCCTGCTGTCAGAATACCAGCAAACGATTCTCAATCTCTTAGTCTCAATCCTTTTCAGGGTTAAAAGACAAAAGTCTATGCTGGGTGCGGTGGCTCACGCCTGTAATCCCAGCACTTTGGGAGGCTGAGGCGGGAGGATCACGAGGTCAGGAGTTCGAGACCAGCCTGACCAACATGGAGAAGCCCTGTCTCTACTTAAAATACAAAAATTAGCCGGGTGTGGTGGCGCATGCCTGTAATCCCAGCCACTCGGGAGGCTGAGGCAGGAGAATTGCTTGAACCCGGGAGGCTGAGGTTCCAGTGAGCTGAGATCGCGCCACTGCACTCCAGCCTGGGCAACAAGAGCGAAAACTCCATCTCAAAAAAAAAAAAAAAAATAGACAAAAGTCCAGCGCAATGAAGATGAGTAACTGCAAAGCCCTTTTCAGGGAATGAGACTTGTTTCCTAAGACGGCCTTTCTCCAGATAAACTTGAAGACTCCTCCAATTTAACCTAGGACTCCCTAGAGGCCCTCGGGCTCCAGTTTGAGAAACCTTGTCCCAAATATTTCTCGCAGCTGCCGACTCCTTGGCGCCCTCCCCTGGTCCTGCTTGGAAACCCGCAGGCTCTCCTGGCCTCCTCACTGCCTGCAAATCGGACCGCTCCAGGCACCACTTGTTAAATGCCATTTGTACAATGCAAAACTGAGTCCTCCCTGGCTCCCGTTGCCTACAGGATTCCCCGCATGCCGGCCGCACTTTTTGCTACCCTTCTTCTCATTTTCAGCCACCCCAAATGCTTCGGGGATCCACCCCCATGCAGCACCGGGACGACTTTCTGCAGCCATACCTACCACACTCGTACCTTCCACACCCATACCTTCCACACCCATACCTTCCACACCCATACCTTCCACACCCATACCTTCCACACCCATACCTTCCACAGTCATACCTTCCACACCCATACCTTCCACAGCCATACCTTCCACACCCATACCTTCCACACCCATACCTTCCACAGTCATACCTTCCACACCCATACCTTCCACACCCATACCTTCCACACCCATACCTTCCACACCCATACCTTCCACAGTCATACCTTCCACACCCATACCTTCCACAGTCATACCTTCCACACCCATACCTTCCACACCGATACCTTCCACACCCATACCTTCCACACCCATACCTTCCACATCCATACCTTCCACACCCTTACCTTCCACACCCATACCTTCCACACCCATACCTTCCACACCCTTACCTTCCACACCCATACCTTCCACGGCCATACCTTCCACGGTCATACCTTCCACACCCATACCTTCCACGGCCATACCTTCCACACCCATACCTTCCACACCCATACCTTCCACACCCATACCTTC
Organism: Homo sapiens; assembly: GCF_000001405.40. Lineage (NCBI taxonomy): Eukaryota > Metazoa > Chordata > Mammalia > Primates > Hominidae > Homo > Homo sapiens. Next base: position 18,821 of record NT_187649.1, on the reverse strand, counting down.
CACACCCATACCTTCCACAGTCATACCTTCCACACCCATACCTTCCACACCCATACCTTCCACATCCATACCTTCCACAGTCATACCTTCCACACCCATACCTTCCACATCCATACCTTCCACGGCCATAACTTCCACACCCATACCTTCCACACCCTTACCTTCCACACCCATACCTTCCACACCCATACCTTCCACACCCTTACCTTCCACACCCATACCTTCCACAGCCATACCTTCCACACCCATACCTTCCACAGTCATACCTTCCACACCCATACCTTCCACACCCATACCTTCCACATCCATACCTTCCACACCCATACCTTCCACACCCATACCTTCCACACCCATACCTTCCACACCCATACCTTCCACACCCATACCTTCCACACCCATACCTTCCACAGTCATACCTTCCACACCCATACCTTCCACACCCATACCTTCCACAGCCATACCTTCCACACCCATACCTTCCACACCCATACCTTCCACACCCATACCTTCCACACCCATACCTTCCGCACCCATACCTTCCGCACCCATACCTTCCACACCCATACCTTCCGCATCCATACCTTCCACACCCATACCTTCCACACCCATACCTTCCGCACCCATACCTTCCACACCCATACCTTCCGCACCCATACCTTCCACACCCATACCTTCCACACCCATACCTTCCACACCCATACCTTCCACACCCATACCTTCCACAGTCATACCTTCCACACCCATACCTTCCACACCCATACCTTCCACACCCTTACCTTCCACACCCATACCTTCCACAGTCATACCTTCCACACCCATACCTTCCACACCCATACCTTCCACACCCATACCTTCCACACCCATACCTTCCACACCCATACCTTCCACACCCATACCTTCCACGGCCATACCTTCCACAGTCATACCTTCCACACCCATACCTTCCACACCCATACCTTCCACACCCATACCTTCCACACCCTTACCTTCCACACCCATACCTTCCACAGTCATACCTTCCACACCCATACCTTCCACAGTCATACCTTCCACACCCATACCTTCCACACCCATACCTTCCACATCCATACCTTCCACACCCATACCTTCCACACCCATACCTTCCACACCCATACCTTCCACACCCATACCTTCCACAGTCATACCTTCCACACCCATACCTTCCACAGTCATACCTTCCACACCCATACCTTCCACACCCATACCTTCCACATCCATACCTTCCACACCCATACCTTCCACACCCATACCTTCCACACCCATACCTTCCACAGTCATACCTTCCACACCCATACCTTCCACAGTCATACCTTCCACACCCATACCTTCCACACCCATACCTTCCACATCCATACCTTCCACACCCATACCTTCCACACCCATACCTTCCACACCCATACCTTCCACACCCTTACCTTCCACACCCATACCTTCCACACCCATACCTTCCACACCCATACCTTCCACACCCTTACCTTCCACACCCATACCTTCCACACCCATACCTTCCACACCCATACCTTCCACACCCATACCTTCCACACCCTTACCTTCCACACCCATACCTTCCACAGTCATACCTTCCACACCCATACCTTCCACAGTCATACCTTCCACACCCATACCTTCCACACCCATACCTTCCACACCCATACCTTCCACACCCATACCTTCCACACCCATACCTTCCACACCCATACCTTCCACAGTCATACCTTCCACACCCATACCTTCCACACCCATACCTTCCACATCCATACCTTCCACACCCATACCTTCCACACCCATACCTTCCACACCCATACCTTCCACACCCTTACCTTCCACACCCATACCTTCCACACCCATACCTTCCACACCCATACCTTCCACACCCATACCTTCCACACCCATACCTTCCACATCCATACCTTCCACACCCATACCTTCCACACCCATACCTTCCACACCCATACCTTCCACAGCCATACCTTCCACACCCATACCTTCCACACCCATACCTTCCACACCTTTGTTCCAGCTGTTCCCGCCCTCCTCCCTGCCTGGGGTGCTCCTCCATCCCCGGCTCTGCATTCCTTAGGGCCTTCCATTGTGTGCACTTAGACCCTGGGATGAGTCCTCTAACCGCCGCTACCGGACCGTCCATCTATCCCTTGCTGAATGGCACTGGGGTCATTTCTCTGTCTCCAGCTCCTGGCCCAGTGCCATGCACAAAGCCAGCCCTCAGGAGCGACTCCGATGCTGTGTCCCTGTCCTCGGTAAGGCCCTCCCCACCCGAGAGAGCGGAGACTGTGGGAAGTAGGCTGAGAGGGAGCCTTCAGTTACATCACCCCTCAAAAGGCACAGGCCTCACCTGTATGGCCTCACCTCTCTCAGGCAGGATGGGGATGGGGGCAGCTGTGGAGCGGGTGTGCATGGCAGTGCTGGGAATGGTGGAAATGATGGTCTGGGAGGTTGTGGGGGGTGGTGATGTGGCTGTGCGTCTCCCACCGTCTGTCTTCAGTGACGGTGTTGTCATTCCTGGACACGTGAAAAGACAAGGCGGGGTGTTTCTTACAGTAACAAAACAGGAGAGTCAAAGAGATTCAAAGAAATCAGGAGCTGGAAGAGGGAGCTGGAAACTCCTTGTCTCTCCCCTGCTCATATCCAAACTACTCTCGACATCAGTGCTTTTCGATTGCGGCACAAAGGAGGGTGAGCCTGTCACCCACCACACCCATCACCTCCTCCCCTGTGGGACCTGACACGGCCCCACCAGGTAATGCGAATGCACCAGTGTTCTCAGGTACTCCTTAGGCTGAATTCCGCCAAGGGGCCCACTGGGAGACATAAAGGCGAGGCAGTTGGCAGCTACCTGGTGTTTCCATCTTCAGAGGGGAGTCCGAGGATACTGTGGAAGCTGAGGTAGCACTGCTGACAGCAAGAGGGGTGGCGTGACCTGTGGATACTGAGGAAAGGCTGGTGACAGGAAGAGGGGTGGCGTGACCTGTGGATGCTGAGGAAGTGTCGGTGACAGGAAGAGGGGTGGCGTGACCTGTGGATGCTGAGGAAGTGTCGGTGACAGGAAGAGGGGTGGTGTCACCTGTGGATGCTGAGGAAGTGCTGGTGACAGGAAGAGGGGTGCCGTGACCTGTGGACACTGAGGAAGCGTCGGTGACAGGAAGAGAGGTGGTGTGACCTGAGGATGCTGAGGAAGGGATGGTGACAGGAAGAGGCGTGGTGTCACCTGTGGATACTGAGGAAAGGCTGGTGACAGGAAGAGGGGTGGCCTGACCTGTGGATGCAGAGGAAGTGTCGGTGACAGGAAGAGGCGTGGTGTCACCTGTGGATACTGAGGAAAGGCTGGTGAGAGGAAGAGGGGTGGCGTGACCGGTGGATGCTGAGGAAGCATCGGTGACAGGAAGAGTGCTGGTGTCACCTCTGGATGCTGAGGAAGGGCTGGTGACATGAAGAGGGGTGGCGTGACCTGTGGATAATGAGGAAGCATTGGTGACAGGAAGAGGGGTGGTGTCACCTGTGGATGCTGAGGAAGTGCTGGTGACAGGAACAGGGGTGGCGTGACCTGTGGATGCTGAGGAAGGGCTGGTGACAGGAAGAGGGGTGGCGTGACCTGTAGATACTGAGGAAGTGCTGGTGACAGGAAGAGGGGTGGCGTGACCTGTGGATACTGAGGAAGTGTCGGTGACAGGAAGGGGGGTGGCGTGACCTGTGGATGCTGAGGAACGGCTGGTGACAGGAAGAGAGGTGGCGTGACCTGTGGATACTGAGGAAGTGTCGGTGACAGGAAGAGGGGTGGTGTCACCTGTGGATGCTGAGGAAGTGCTGGTGACAGGAAGAGGGGTGGCATGTCCTGTGGATGCCGAGGAAACGTCGGTGACAGGAAGACGGGTGGTGTCATCTGTGGAAGCTGAGGAAGTGTCGGTGACAGGAAGAGGGGTGGCGTGACGTGTGGATGCTGAGGAAGTGTCGGTGACAGGAAGAGGGGTGGTGTCACCTGTGGAAGCTGAGGAAAGGCCGGTAACAGGAAGAGGGGTGGCGTGACCTGTGGATGCTGAGGAAGGGCTAGTGACAGGAAGAGGCATGGTGTCACCTGTGGATACTGAGGAAGGGATGGTGACAGGAAGAGGGGTGGCGTGACCTGTGGATGCTGAGGAAGCGTCGGTGACAGGAAGAGGGGTGGTGTCACCTGTGGATACTGAGGAAAGGCTGGTGACAGGAAGAGGGGTGGCCTGACCTGTGGATGCTGAGGAAGTGTCGGTGACAGGAAGAGGGGTGGTGTCACCTGTGGATGCTGAGGAAGCGTCGGTGACAGGAAGAGGCGTGGCGTGACCTGTGGACACTGAGGAAGCGTCGGTGACAAGAAGAGGGGTGGCGTGACCTGTGGATGCTGAGGAAGTGCTGGTGACAGGAAGAGGGGTGACGTGACCTGTGGATGCTGAGGAAGGGCTGGTGACATGAAGAGGGGTGACGTGACCTGTAGATACTGAGGAAGTGCTGGTGACAGGAAGAGGGGTGGTGTGACCTGAGGATGATGAGGAAGGGATGGTGACAGGAAGAGGGGTGGCCTGACCTGTGGATGCTGAGGAAGTGTCCGTGACAGGAAGACGGGTGGTGTCACCTGTGGATGCTGAGGAAGTGTCGGTGACAGGAAGAGGGGTGGCGTGACCTGTGGATACTGAGGAAGCGTCGGTGACAAGAAGAGGGGTGGTGTCACCTGTGGATACTGAGGAAAGGCTGGTGACAGGAAGAGGGGTGGCCTGACCTGTGGATGCTGAGGAAGTGTCCGTGACAGGAAGACGGGTGGTGTCACCTGTGGATGCTGAGGAAGTGTCGGTGACAGGAAGAGGGGTGGCGTGACCTGTGGATACTGAGGAAGCGTCGGTGACAAGAAGAGGGGTGGTGTCACCTGTGGATACTGAGGAAAGGCTGGTGACAGGAAGAGGGGTGGCCTGACCTGTGGATGCCGAGGAAGCGTCGGTGACAGGAAGAGGGGTGGTGTCACCTGTGGATACTGAGGAAAGGCTGGTGACAGGAAGAGGCGTGGCGTGACCGGTGGATACTGAGGAAGTGTCGGTGACAGGAAGAGGGGTGGCGTGACCGGTGGATGCTGAGGAAGCGCCGGTGACAGGAAGAGTGCTGGTGTCACCTGTGGATGCTGAGGAAGGGATGGTGACATGAAGAGGGGTGGTGTGACCTGTAGATGCTGAGGAAGGGCTGGTGACAGGAAGAGGGGTGGTGTCACCTGTGGATGCTGAGGAAGTGTCGGTGACAGGAAGAGGGGTGGTGTGACCTGTAGATGCTGAGGAAGTGCTGGTGACAGGAACAGGGGTGGCGTGACCGGTGGATGCTGAGGAAGTGCTGGTGACAGGAAGAGGGGTGGCGTGACCTGTGGATGCTGAGGAAGGGCTAGTGACAGGAAGAGGCATGGTGTCACCTGTGGATACTGAGGAAGTGTTGGTGACAGGAAGAGGGGTGGCCTGACCTGTGGATGCCGAGGAAATGTCGGTGACAGGAAGACGGGTGGTGTCACCTGTGGAAGCTGAGGAAAGGCCGGTGACAGGAAGAGGGGTGGCGTGACCTGTGGATACTGAGGAAGTGTCGGTGACAGGCACAGGGGTGGTGTCACCTGTGGATGCTGAGGAAGGGCTGGTGACATGAAGAGGGGTGGCGTGACCTGTGGATGCTGAGGAAGCGTCGGTGACAAGAAGAGGAGTGGCGTGACCTGTGGATACTGAGGAAGTCTCGGTGACAAGAAGAGGGGTGGTGTCACCTGTGGATGATGAGGAAGTGTCGGTGACAGGAAGAGAGGTGGTGTCACCTGTGTATGCTGAGGAAGTGTCGGTGACAGGAAGAGAGGTGGTGTCACCTGTGGATGCTGAGGAAGTGTCGGTGACAGGAAGAGAGGTGGCATGACCGGTGGATGCTGAGGAAGGGCTAGTGACAGGAAGAGGCGTGGTGTCACCTGTGGATACTGAGGAAAGGCTGGTGACAGGAAGAGGGGTGGCCTGACCTGTGGATGCTGAGGAAGCGTCGGTGACAAGAAGAGGAGTGGCGTGACCTGTGGATGCTGAGGAAGGGCTAGTGACAGGAAGAGGCGTGGTGTCACCTGTGGATACTGAGGAAAGGCTGGTGACAGGAAGAGGGGTGGCCTGACCTGTGGATGCTGAGGAAGTGTCGGTGACAGGAAGAGGGGTGGTGTCACCTGTGGATGCTGAGGAAGTGCTGGTGACAGGAAGAGCGGTGGCCTGACCTGTGGATGCTGAGGAAGTGTCGGTGACAGGAAGAGGGGTGGTGTGACCTGTGGATGCTGAGGAAGGGCTAGTGACAGGAAGAGGCGTGGTGTCACCTGTGGATACTGAGGAAAGGCTGGTGACAGGAAGAGGGGTGGCGTGACCTGTGGATGCTGAGGAAGTGTCGGTGACAGGAAGCGGGGTGGCGTGACCGGTGGATGCTGAGGAAGGGCTGGTGACATGAAGAGGGTTGGCGTGACCTGTGGATGCTGAGGAAGTGTCGGTGACAGGAAGCGGGGTGGCGTGACCGGTGGATGCTGAGGAAGGGCTGGTGACATGAAGAGGGGTGGCGTGACCTGTGGATATTGAGGAAGTGTCGGTGACAGGAAGAGAGGTGGCGTGACCTATGGATGCTGAGGAAGTGTCGGTGACAGGAAGAAGGGTGGCGTGACCTGTGGATGCTGAGGAAGTGTCGGTGTCAGGAAGAGGGGTGGCGTGACCTGTGGATGCTGAGGAAGTGTCGGTGACAGGAAGAGAGGTGGCGTGACCTGTGGATGCTGAGGAAGTGTCGGTGACAGGAAGAGGGGTGGTGTCACCTGTGGATACTGAGGAAAGGCTGGTGACAGGAAGAGGGGTGGCCTGACCTGTGGATGCTGAGGAAGTGTCGGTGACAGGAAGAGGCGTGGTGTCACCTGTGGATACTGAGGAAAGGCTGGTGAGAGGAAGAGGGGTAGCGTGACCTGTGGACACTGAGGAAGCGTCGGTGACAGGAAGAGGGGTGGCATGACCTGTGGACACTGAGGAAGCGTCGGTGACAGGAAGAGAGGTGGCGTGACCTGTGGACACTGAGGAAGCGTCGGTGACAGGAAGAGGGGTGGTGTGACCTGAGGATGCTGAGGAAGGGATGGTGACAGGAAGAGAGGTGGCATGACCTGTGAACACTGAGGAAGCGTCGGTGACAGGAAGAGAGGTGGCGTGACCTGTGGACACTGACGAAGCGTCGGTGACAGGAAGAGGGGTGGTGTGACCTGTGGATGCTGAGGAAGGGCTGGTGACATGAAGAGGGGTGGCGTGACCTGTGGATACTGAGGAAGTGTTGGTGACAGGAAGAGGGGTGGCGTGACCTGTGGATGCTGAGGAAGTGTCGGTGACAGGAAGAGGGGTGGTGTCACCTGTGGATACTGAGGAAGTCTCGGTGACAAGAAGAGGGGTGGTGTCACCTGTGGATGATGAGGAAGTGTCGGTGACAGGAAGAGAGGTGGTGTCACCTGTGTATGCTGAGGAAGTGTCGGTGACAGGAAGAGAGGTGGTGTCACCTGTGGATGCTGAGGAAGTGTCGGTGACAGGAAGAGAGGTGGCATGACCGGTGGATGCTGAGGAAGGGCTAGTGACAGGAAGAGGCGTGGTGTCACCTGTGGATACTGAGGAAAGGCTGGTGACAGGAAGAGGGGTGGCCTGACCTGTGGATGCTGAGGAAGCGTCGGTGACAAGAAGAGGAGTGGCGTGACCTGTGGATGCTGAGGAAGGGCTAGTGACAGGAAGAGGCGTGGTGTCACCTGTGGATACTGAGGAAAGGCTGGTGACAGGAAGAGGGGTGGCCTGACCTGTGGATGCTGAGTAAGTGTCGGTGACAGGAAGAGGGGTGGTGTCACCTGTGGATGCTGAGGAAGTGCTGGTGACAGGAAGAGGGGTGGCGTGACCTGTGGATGCTGCGGAAGTGTCGGTGACAGGAAGAGAGGTGGCGTGACCTGTGGATGCTGAGGAAGGGCTGGTGACATGAAGAGAGGTGGCGTGACGTGTGGATAATGAGGAAGCATTGGTGACAGGAAGAGGGGTGGTGTCACCTGTGGATGCTGAGGGAGTGTCGGTGACAGGTAGAGGGGTGGTGTGACCTGTAGATGCTGAGGAAGGGCTGGTGACAGGAAGACGGGTGGTGTCACCTGTGGATACTGACGAAGCGTCGGTGACAAGAAGAGGGGTGGTGTGACCTGTGGATACTGAGGAAGTGTCGGTGCCAGGAAGAGGGGTGGTGTCACCTGTGGATGCTGAGGAAGTGCTGGTGACAGGAAGAGGGGTGGCATGACCTGTGGATGCCGAGGAAACGTTGGTGACAGGAAGACGGGTGGTGTCACCTGTGGAAGCTGAGGAAAGGCCGGTGACAGGAAGATGGGTGGCGTGACCTGTGGATGCTGAGGAAGTGTCGGTGACAGGAAGAGGGGTGGTGTCACCTGTGGATGCTGAGGAAGCGTCGGTGACAGGAAGAGGGGTGGTGTGACCTGAGGATGCTGAGGAAGAGCTGGTGACAGGAAGAGGGGTGGTGTCACCTGTGGATACTGAGGAAGCGTCGGTGACATGAAGAGGGGTGGCGTGACCTGTGGATGCTGAGGAAGGGCTAGTGACAGGAAGAGGCGTGGTGTCACCTGTGGATGCTGAGGAAAGGCTGGTGACAGGAAGAGGGGTGGCGTGACCTGTGGATGCTGAGGAAGCGTCGGTGACATGAAGAGGGGTGGCGTGACCTGTGGATGCTGAGGAAGGGCTAGTGACAGGAAGAGGAGTGGTGTCACCTGTGGATACTGAGGAAAGGCTGGTGACAGGAAGAGAGGTGGCGTGACCTGTGGACACTGAGGAAGCGTCGGTGACAGGAAGAGGGGTGGTGTCACCTGTGGATGCTGAGGAAAGGCTGGTGACAGGAAGAGGGGTGGCCTGTCCTGTGGATGCTGAGGAAGTGTCGGTGACAAGAAGAGGGATGGCGTGACCTGTGGATGCTGAGGAAGGGCTGGTGACAGGAAGAGGGGTGGCCTGACCTGTGGATGCTGAGGAAGTGTCGGTGACAGGAAGAGGGGTGGCGTGACCTGTGGATGCTGAGGAAGTGTCGGTGACAGGAAGAGAGGTGGCGTGACCTGTGGATGCTGAGGAAGTGTCGGTGACAGGAAGAGAGGTGGCGTGACCTGTGGATACTGAGGAAGTTTCGGTGACAGGAAGAGGGGTGGTGTCACCTGTGGATGTTGAGGAAGGGCTGGTGACAGGAAGAGGGGTGGTGTCCCCTGTGGATAATGAGGAAGCATCGGTGTCATGAAGAGCGGTGGCGTGACCTGTGGATACTGAGGAAGCGTCGGTGACAAGAAGAGAGGTGGCGTGACCTGTGGATATTGAGGAAGCGTCGGTGACAAGAAGAGGGGTGGCGTGACCTGTGGATGCTGAGGAAGGGTTAGTGACAGGAAGAGGCGTGGTGTCACCTGTGGATACTGAGGAAAGGCTGGTGACAGGAAGAGGGGTGTCCTGACCTGTGGATGCTGAGGAAGTATCGGTGACAGGAAGCGGCGTGGTGTCACCAGTGGATGCTGAGGAAAGGCTGGTGACAGGAAGAGGGGTGGCCTGTCCTGTAGATACTGAGGAAGTGTCGGTGACCGGAAGAGGGGTGGCATGACCTGTGGACACTGAGGAAGCGTCGGTGACAGGAAGAGGGGTGGCGTGACCTGTGGACACTGAGGAAGCGTCGGTGACAGGAAGAGAGGTGGCGTGACCTGTGGGTACTGAGGAAGCGTCGGTGACAGGAAGAGGGGTGGTGTGACCTGAGGATGCTGAGGAAGGGCTAGTGACAGGAAGAGGCGTGGTGTCACCTGTGGATGCTGAGGAAAGGCTGGTGACAGGAAGAGAGGTGGCGTGACCTGTGGATACTGAGGAAGCGTCGGTGACATGAAGAGGGGTGGTGTCACCTGTGGATGCTGAGTTAGTGTCGGTGACAGGAAGAGGGGTGGTGTCACCTGTGGATACTGAGGAAGCGTCGGTGACAAGAAGAGAGGTGGCGTGACCTGTGGACACTGAGGAAGCGTCGGTGACAGGAAGAGAGGTGGTGTGACCTGAAGATGCTGAGGAAGGGATGGTGACAGGAAGAGAGGTGGTGTCACCTGTGGATGCTGAGGAAGCGTCGGTGACAGGAAGAGGGGTGGTGTCACCTGTGGATGCTGAGGAAGGGCTGGTGACAGGAAGAGGGATGGCCTGACCTGTGGATGCCGAGGAAACGTCGGTGACAGGAAGACGGGTGGTGTCATCTGTGGAAGCTGAAGAAAGGCCGGTGACAGGAAGTGGGGTGGCGTGAGCTGTGGATACTGAGGAAGTGTCGGTGACAGGAAGAGGGGTGGCCTGACCTGTGGATGCTGAGGAAGCGTCAGTGACAAGAAGAGGGCTGGCGTGACCTGTGGATGCTGAGGAAGGGCTAGTGACAGGAAGAGGCGTGGTGTCACCTGTGGATACTGAGGAAAGGCTGGTGACAGGAAGAGGGGTGGCCTGACCTGTGGATGCCGAGGAAACGTCGGTGACAGGAAGACGGGTGGTGTCATCTGTGGTAGCTGAGGAAAGGCCGGTGACAGGAAGAGGGGTGGCGTGACCGGTGGATGCTGAGGAAGTGCTGGTGACAGGAAGAGGGGTGGCGTGACCTGTGGATGCTGAGGAAGGGCTGGTGACATGAAGAGGGGTGGCGTGACCTGTGGATAATGAGGAAGCATTGGTGACAGGAAGAGGGGTGGTGTCACCTGTGGATGCTGAGGAAGTGTCGGTGACAGGAAGAGGGGTGGTGTGACCTGTAGATGCTGAGGAAGGGCTGGTGACAGGAAGAGGGGTGGTGTCACCTTTGGATGCTGAGGAAGTGTCGGTGACAGGAAGAGGGGTGGTGTGACCTGTAGATGCTGAGGAAGGGCTGGTGACAGGAAGAGGGGTGGTGTGACCTGTGGATACTGAGGAAGCGTCGGTGACAGGAAGAGGGGTGGTGTCACCTGTGGATGCTGAGGAAGGGCTAGTGACAGGAAGAGGCATGGTGTCACCTGTGGATGCTGAGGAAAGGCTGGTGACAGGAAGAGGGGTGGCGTGACCTGTGGATGCTGAGGAAGGGCTGGTGACATGAAGAGGAGTGACGTGACCTGTGGATGCTGAGGAAGTGCTAGTGACAGGAAGAGGCGTGGTGTCACCTGTGGATACTGAGGAAGTGTCGGTGACAAGAAGAGAGGTGGCCTGACCTGTGGATGCTGAGGAAGTGTCGGTGACAGGAAGAGGGGTGGTGTGACCTGTGGATGCTGCGGAAGGGATGGTTACAGGAAGAGAGGTGGCGTGATCTGTGGACACTGAGGAAGCGTCGGTGACAGGAAGAGGGGTGGCGTGTCCTGTGGATGCTGAGGAAGTGTCGGTGACAAGAAGAGGGGTGGCGTGACCTGTGGATGCTGAGGAAGGGCTAGTGACAGGAAGAGGCGTGGTGTCACCTGTGGATACTGAGGAAAGGCTGGTGACAGGAAGAGGGGTGGCCTGACCTGTGGATGCTGAGGAAGCATCAGTGACATGAAGAGGGGTGGTGTGACCTGTGGATACTGAGGAAGCGTCGGTGACAGGAAGAGGGGTGGTGTCACCTGTGGATGCTGAGGAAGGGCTAGTGACAGGAAGAGGCATGGTGTCACCTGTGGATGCTGAGGAAAGGCTGGTGACAGGAAGAGGGGTGGCGTGACCTGTGGATGCTGAGGAAGGGCTGGTGACATGAAGAGGAGTGACGTGACCTGTGGATGCTGAGGAAGTGCTAGTGACAGGAAGAGGCGTGGTGTCACCTGTGGATACTGAGGAAGTGTCGGTGACAAGAAGAGAGGTGGCCTGACCTGTGGATGCTGAGGAAGTGTCGGTGACAGGAAGAGGGGTGGTGTGACCTGTGGATGCTGCGGAAGGGATGGTTACAGGAAGAGAGGTGGCGTGATCTGTGGACACTGAGGAAGCGTCGGTGACAGGAAGAGGGGTGGCGTGTCCTGTGGATGCTGAGGAAGTGTCGGTGACAAGAAGAGGGGTGGCGTGACCTGTGGATGCTGAGGAAGGGCTAGTGACAGGAAGAGGCGTGGTGTCACCTGTGGATACTGAGGAAAGGCTGGTGACAGGAAGAGGGGTGGCCTGACCTGTGGATGCTGAGGAAGCATCAGTGACATGAAGAGGGGTGGTGTGACCTGTGGATACTGAGGAAGTGTCGGTGACAGGAAGAGAGGTGGCGTGACCTGTGGATGCTGAGGAAGTGTCGGTGACAGGAAGAGGGGTGGTGTGACCTGTGGATACTGAGGAAGTGTCGGTGACAGGAAGAGAGGTGGCGTGACCTGTGGATGCTGAGGAAGTGTCAGTGACAGGAAGAGGGGTGGTGTCACCTGTGGATGCTGAGGAAAGGCTGGTGACAGGAAGAGGGGTGACGTGACCTGTGGATGCTGAGGAAGTGTCAGTGACAGGAAGAGGGGTGCTGTCACCTGTGGATGCTGAGGAAAAGCTGGTGACAGGAAGAGGGGTGACGTGACCTGTGGATTCTGAGGAAGTGTCGGTGACAGGAAGAGGGGTGGTGTGACCTGTGGATACTGAGGAAGGGCTGGTGACAGGAAGAGGGGTGGCGTGACCTGTGGATACTGAGGAAGCATCGGTGACATGAAGAGGGGTGGTGTGACCTGTGGATGCCGAGGAAGCGTAGGTGACAGGAAGAGGGGTGGCGTTGCTGATGAGGGCCGTGGTGAAGGTTTTACCAGACCCTGAAGGTGACAGAGTGTGGGTCTCGGTTTGTGGAGATGTAAGCCCAGTGGATGTGATCGATGGAGGTGTGGGTGGGACTGTTGAGAAGGTGTCGGTTGCCTGGGACGCCAGGCTGATAGTGTCAGACCCTCTGCTGGTTCTTGTCCTCTGAGTCTGGGCCATCCGGGAAATGGCGGCTGTCTCCTGAGGAGAGGCACTGGGAGAAGTTGGGCTTGACTGTCCTGTCGGTCTCCCTGCAGTGGAGGCCTCAGAGAGGGTGGGATGAAAGGTGCCGGGGACGATCGAAGACGCCATTCCTGTGCTTACTGGGATGGCACCATGACTGGCTGAGGCGGACAGCAATTCGGTTGTTGACTGGGTTGTGTGACTGTCCCTGGAGGGGTTTGATGAAAACCTTGTCGTCTCTCCTGAGGTGGATATTCCTTCGCTTCCTGAAGGTGTTGTGCCACTCGCCCCGGATGAGGAAGGGGTAGCTGTGCCCGCTGAGGTGGTTCGTGACCCTGAGGAGGCCGGTTCGCTGGTCTGTGTTTGTCCAGAGGCCTCTGTGCTCTCAGCCTGGTGGGTATGGGTCATGGCTGCTGCTGTGTCAGGTGAGGTGCTGGCAGAGGCTGATGTCCATTGTCCTTCTGGGCCCCCTGGTGTTGACACTACAGAGTTGGCCAGAGTAAGGGCACCTGTTTTGGAAAGTGACGTGCCTCCTGAGGGCCCCAGGGTGGCATCATGGCTGCTGGGTGCTGCCTGCAGTGCTGTGGTCGGGGCCTGGGTTGTGTGACCATCCCCGGTGGGAGCTGGGGCAAAGGTTGTTGCTGCACTTATGGTGGGTGCGTCCTGAGGAACAATTTCTGAGGGCGAGTGCCCACTGGCTGTGAAGGAAGAACCTGGGGTGGTGACTGTCTTGGTGTCAGTCATGGGGGAGACGGACCTCGTGGTTTGTGATTCTTGTGTGGTCTGCGGGGCTTGAGTGTGACCCCTTTGGGAAACAGCTGGTGATTCCTGAGGAGAGGTGCTTGTGGAATGTATTGTTGAATGATTTGTTGATGGTGCCGTTGTAATTTGTTGGGATGTGTGTCTATCCAGCATAGGTGAAGAAGATGGGGATGTGGCCGTTTTTATCATCTGAGTCACACTGTAGCTTGGGCTGCTGAGAAGAGCCTCTCCAGTGGTCCCCGTTTCTTGTGTCCATTGTGTCTGGGCGCCTGCCCCTGTTGTTTTTGGGAGAGTTGTGCTGTGGGAGGAGTATGTGGTGGGCTCTCCTGGTTCCCCTATTGCTGAGACCTTAGAGGGGACCCTTGGAATAGTGCCAGCTGTCCCTGTAGATGGATTTCCTGTGACAAGCCTAGTGGCAGCACCTGTTGATGTTGAGGGCAGTTCTGTTTGTGACCAAGTTGTGTGGCCTTTGCTGGAGAATGAGGAAGGCCATGTTGTTGTTTCATGTAGAGTAAATATTTCTTGAGACACACCTGGAGAGAATGAGCTCCTCTCATGAGGCCGTCCTGTGGTCTCTGCACCTTCACTCTGCTGGGTGTGGAAAGCTGTGGATATTTTTGGAGGTAGAGAACTGGGGGAGAGTGCTGTTGACAGAGTGTCTGACCACCATATGGTTGAAACTTTGGAAGTGATTGCAGAAATGGTTCCACTTACAGATAGTGATGTCTCCTCTGTGTTTCCAAGAGTAGAGTCTCTGGAGGTTGGCATTCTGAACACCTTTGATGTTACCAGGAATGTATTGCTGACACTGGAAGGGGATGAGGTGGTTGTTTCACCAGAAGGGAATGTCTCCTGAGAAACTGTTCCACTTGGGTTGAATCCACTTGGTGAGGATAAAACAGTTGATGTTGTAACCGGTGTGAGGGTGTTGAGGGTGTTGATTTGAGATACTCTGGTGGTCTCCACGCTCTGAGTCTGGTGGTTCTTAGAAAAAGCTGTTGTGTCCTGAGTAGAAGTCCTTGAGAAAGTTGCTGGTGATTGTCCTTCTGGATCAAATGTTACTAAGGCTGCTGAGGTGACTGGCATAAGACTTCCAGTAACAGGTACTGATGATGTCTCCCCTGGGTTTCCAAGAGTGGAGCCTGTGGAGGTTGTCACTGTTATCTTCTCTGATGTCATCATGGATGTGTTTGTGACACTACAGAGGGATGAGGTAGCTGTTTCACCTGAAGGAGATGTCTTCTGAGAAACAGTCCCTGTCACATTGTGTACACTTGGAGAGAAAGAAGGAGTTGAAGTGGTTCTGTGTGTTAGGGTGCTGGTTTGAGATTCCCTGGTGGTCTGCGTGCTCCGAGTCCAGTGGTTCTGAGAAGAAGCTGATGTGTCTTGGATAGAGGTCCTCCAGGAAGTTGTTCGTGATTGTCCTTCCTGTCCAGCTGTTATTGAGACTGCTGAGGTCACTGGGGTAGAACTTTCAGTTCCTGCTGTTGATGTCTCTTCTGTGTTTCCAAGAGTGGAGTCTGTGGAGGTTGTCATTGTTATAGTCTTTGATGTCATCATGAGTGTGTTGGTGACACTGGAGGGAAATGATGTGGTCATTTCATCTGGAGGAGCTGTCTCCATCACATTGTGTACACTTGGGGAAGAAAAAAGAGTTGATGTCATCATCTGCGTGAGGGTGTCGGTTTGAGCTTTGCTGGTGGTCTCCGTGCTCTTAGTCTGGTGGTTCTGAGATGAAGCTGATATGTCCTGATTAGAGGTCCTTGAAGAAGCTGCAGTTGATTGTCCCTCTAGTGTCGCTGTTGTTGAGCCTGTTGAGGTGACTGGGGCAGCAGTTTTACTTCCAGTTATTAATGTGTCCTCTGTGGTTCCTGGAGTGAACCAAAATAGGCAAGCAGAGAGCTAAATCATGAATGAACTCCTATTCACAATTGCTACAAATAGAATAAAATACCTAGGAATACAGCTAACAAAGGATGTGAAAACTACCATTCTTCACAGAATGAGAACAAACTACTTTAAAATTCATATGGAATCAAAAAAGAACCCAAATAGCCAAGACAATCCTAAGCAAAAAGAACAAAGTGGGAGGCTACCTGACTTCAAACTATACTACAAGGCTACAGTAACCAAAACAGCATGGTACTGGTACCAAAACTGACATATAAACCAATGGAACAGAATAGATACCTTGGAAATAAGACCACACATCTACAACCATCTGATCTTTGACAAACCTGACAAAAGCAGGCAATGGGGAAAGGATTCTCTATTCAATAAATGGTGCTGGGAAAACTGGTTAGCCATATGCAGAAAACTGAAACTGGACCCCTTCCTTACACCTTATACAAAAATTAACTCAAGGCAGGTTAAAGACTTACATGTAAAACCCCAAACCATGAAAACCCTAGAAGAAAACCTAGGCAATACCATTCAGGACATAGACATAGGCAAAGATTTTATGATGAAATCTCCAAAAGCACTTGCAACAAAAGCTAAAATTGACAAATGGGATCTAATTAAACTAAAGAGCTCTGCACAGCAAAAGAAACTATCATCAGAGCAAACAGGCAACCTACAAAATGAGAAAATTTTTGCAATCTAACCATCTGACAGAGGTCTAATATCCAGAATTTACAAGGAACTTAAATTTACAAGAAAAAAATAAACAACCCCATCAAAAAGCAGGCAAAGGATATGAACAGACACTTATCAAAAGAAGACATTTATGCCACCAACAAACATATGAAAAAAGGCTCATCATCATGGATCATTAGAGAAATGCAAATCAAAACTACAAAGGGATATCATCTCACACCACTCAGAATGGCAATTATTAAAAAGTCAAGAAACAGCAGATGCTGGCAAGGCTGTGGTGAAATAGGAACGCTTTTACACTGTTGGTGGGAGTGTAAATCAGTTCAACCATTGTGGAAGACAGTGTGGCGATTCCTCAAGGATCTAGAACCAGAAATACCATTTGACCCAGCAATCCCATTACTGGGTATATGCCCAAAGGAATATAAATCATTCTGTTATAAAGATACATGCACACGTATGTTTACTGCAGCACTATTTACAATAGTAAAGACATGAAACCAACCCAAATGTCCATCAGTGATAGACTGGATAAAGAAAATGTGGTACATATGCAGCACGGAATACTATGCAGCCATGAAAAAGGAATGGGATCACGTCCTTTGCAGGTACATGGATGAAGCTGAAAGCCATCATCCTCAACAAACTAACAGGGGAACAGAAAACCAAACACTGCATGTTTTCACTCATAAGTTGGAGTTGAACAATGAGAACACATGGACACAGAGAGGGGAACAACACACACTGGCGCCTGTCAGGGACGGGACAAGGGGAGGAAGAGCGTCAGGATAAATAGCTAATACATGCAGGTGATGGGTTGATAGGTGCAGTAAACCACCATGGCACATATATACCTGTGTAACAAACCTGCACGTTCTGCACATGTATCCTGAAACTTAAAGTAAAAATGAAAAGAAATAAAAAGAAAAAATGAAAAATTAATATATCACAACTGTACATATTTGGGGGATAAAAAAATAATAAGAGATGGGGCCGGGCATGGTAGCCCCACCTGCAATCCCAGCACTTTGGGAGGCTGAGATGGGTGGATCACTTGAGGTCAGGAGTGCGAGACCAGCCTGGGCAATATGGCAAAACCCCGTCTCTACTAGAAAAAAAAATACAGAAATAGCTGGGCGTGGTGGTGGGTGCCTGTAATCCCAGTTACTCAAAAGGCTGAGGCAGGAGAATTGCTTGAACCCAGGAGGTGGAGGTTGCAGTGAGCAGACATCATGCCACTTCACTGCAGCCTGGGCGACAGAGCAAGATTCTGTCTCAAAAAAAAAATAAATAAATAAAATAAAAAAGGAGAGAGAGATGGGGGTGCAGGATTCCCACAGAGGAAGGCCCCTGATAAGCACTGCTTCAAATCGCCTAGAAAAAGCACAGTTGCAGGAATATAGCCAATGGTCTTCTCCAGCTCCCGCCTGTCTTCCTTGTGAGGAGGAAGGTGAGGTTAGACTAGAATGGTGAATTAACTGTGTTAAACTCCATGGGAAGAGGCAAACAGTACCCCTGCTATAAGCCGGGTTAACTCTCTCAACTTGAATTATAGCATTATCTTTCTTAAAAATAAATTAAATTTCTACTTTTCTTTTTCGTTGTTAACATCTGTGCCAATCTGGTAAAAAACCCAAGGGGTAAATGCATATACTCTTGCCCTGGTCACAGACTACCAAGAAGCTAATATTATTGACCATAACCACTTTTTAAAAAAAAATTATTTCCCAGGCAGAGGCCAGGCATGGTGGCTCATGTCTGTAATCCCAGCATTTTGGGAGGCCAAGGTGGGAGGATCACTCGAGGCCAGGAGTTTGAGACCAGCCTGGGCAAGATAGCGAGACCCTGTGTCTTAAAAAATAAAAATAATAATAATAATAATAAAAATAGATATTAAATAAATAAAGAAAAATATTTCCCAGGCAGAATGTTTAAATATTGGCTTTTTTTGTTTAAAATATTTCACAGCACCTGCACTAGCCACATACCATCTTCGTGAATATTACCTTAGCCTCTGAGTCTCTGAACCAAGAAGAAACCAAGAAAACTTGCCTTTTTTTTTCTCTTAGAAACTGACTCTTTTGGGTTTTCATTAGTTCCCTAGCTGTTCTCAAACTTCTTTCTTTTTTCTTTTTAAACATATATATATAGAGAGAGAGAGAGAGAGAAGAAAGAGAGAGAGAGAGAAAGAAAGAGAGAGAGAGAAAGAGAGACAGGGTCTTCTGTCACCCAGGCTGAAGTTCAGCGGTGTAATTGGCCTTCTGAGTAGCTGGGACTACAGGCACACACAACCATGCCTGGGTAATTTTTTTATTTCTGTAGAGGTGGAATCTTGCTATGTTGCCTAGGCTGGTGTCGAACTCCCGGCCTCAAGCGATCCTCCTGCTTCAGACTCTCAAAGTACTGGGATTAAAGGTGTGAGCCACCGCTCCCACCCTTTTTTTCAACCTCAGTGCTCCTAGATAGTTGGCAAGATGATACTCAGAGAGACAAAGTCTCAGGGAAGAATTC